>NT_167247.2:2246413-2295265 GCF_000001405.40 Homo sapiens | reverse complement strand
GGCCAATGGGGTCATTTCTTCATGTTCTGTAGGCTCTGCTGGGGATAGTGTGGTGTTCTCATTGGCTGTCCATTCTCTATTTTCTGTAGGCTCTGCTGGGAATGGTGTGGTCTTCTCATTGGCTGTGCTTTCTCTATTTTCTGTAGGCTCTGCTGGGAATTGTGTGGTCTTCTCATTGGCTGTCCTTTCTCTATTTTCTGTAGGCTCTGCTGGGGATGATGTGGTGTTCTCATTGGCCAGTGGAGTCCTTTCTGCGTGTTCTGTAGGCTCTGCTGAGGATGATGTGGTCTTCTCATTGGCAAATGGGGTCCTTTTTCCATTTTCTGTAGGCTCTGCTAGAGATGGTGTGGTCTTCTCATTGGCCAATGGAGTCCTGTCTCCATTTTCTGTAGGCTGTGCTGGGGATGGTGTGGTGTTCTCATTGGCTGTCCTTTCTCTATTTTCTGTAGGCTCTGCTGGGAATGGTGTGGTCTTCTCATTGGCTGTCCTTTCTCTATTTTCTGTAGGCCCTGCTGGGGATAGTGTGGTGTTCTCATTGGCCAGTGGGGTCCTTTCTCCGTGTTCTGTAGGCTCTGCTGAGGATGATGTGGTTTTCTCATTGGCAAATGGGGTCCTTTGTCCATTTTCTGTAGGCTCTGCTGGGGATGATGTGGTCTTCTCATTGGCTGTCCTTTCTCTATTTTCTGTAGGCTCTGCTGGGAATAGTGTGGTCTTCTCGTTGGCTGTCATTTCTCTATTTTCTGTAGGCCCTGCTGGGGATGGTGTGGTGTTCTCATTGGCTGTCCTTTCTCTATTTTCTGTAGGCTCTGCCGGGGATGGTGTGGTGTTCTCATTGGCCAGTGGAGTCCTTTCTTCGTGTTCTGTAGGCTCTGCTGAGGATGATGTGGTCTTCTCATTGGCAAATGGGGTCCTTTGTCCATTTTCTGTAGGCTCTGCTAGAGATGGCGTGGTCTTCTCATTGGCCAAAGGAGTCCTGTCTCCATTTTCTGTAGGCTCTGCTGGGGATGGTGTGGTCTTCTCATTGGCTGTCCTTTCTCTATTTTCTGTAGGCTCTGCTGGGGATGGTGTGGTGTTCTCATTGGCCAGTGGGGTCCTTTCTCCGTGTTCTGTAGGCTCTGCTGAGGATGATGTGGTTTTCTCATTGGCAAATGGGGTCCTTTGTCCATTTTCTGTAGGCTCTGCTGGGGATGGTGTGGTCTTCTCATTGGCTGTTGTTTCTCTATTTTCTGTAGGCTCTACTGGGGATAGTGTGGTCTTCTCGTTGGCTGTCGTTTCTCTGTTTTCTGTAGGCCCTGCTGGGGATGGTGTGGTGTTCTCATTGGCTGTCCTTTCTCTATTTTCTGTAGGCTCTGCTGGGGATGGTGTGGTGTTCTCGTTGGCCAGTGGGGTCCTTTCTCCATGTTCTGTAGACTCTGCTGAGGATGATGTGGTTTTGTCATTGGCAAATGGGGTCCTTTCTCCATGTTCTGTAGGCTCTGCTGGGGATGGTGTAGTGTTCTCATTGGCTGTCCTTTCTCCATGTTCTGTAGGCTCTGCTGGGGATGGTGTGGTGTTCTCATTGGCTGTCCTTTCTCCATGTTCTGTAGGCTCTGCTGGGAATAGTGTGGTATTCTCATTGGCTGTCATTTCTCTATTTTCTGTAGGCCCTGCTGGGAATGGTGCGGTGTTCTCATTGGCTGTCCTTTCTCTATTTTCTGTAGGCTCTGCTGGGGATAGTGTGGTGTTCTCATTGGCTGTCCTTTCTCTATTTTCTGTAGGCTCTGCTGGGGATGGTGTGTTGTTCTCATTGGCTGTCCTTCCTCCATGTTCTGTAGGCTCTGCTAGAGATTGTGTGAGCTCATTGGCTGATATGGTCTCTTGTATGTTTTTTGTAGTTTTTGTCAGGAGCTTGTCTGAGGCAACTGTTGTTCTGGAATCTTCAGTTTTTTCTGACTCTTCTGGGGTTCCTGTGGTCTTGTATGTTGTTTTTGAGGCTGCTGTGATTTTTTCTGGAAAAGATGTGCTTTTTTGCTTGGTCTGTGAATTGCCTGAGTTGTGGAAGGAAGTTGTAGTCTTATGTGAGCTGGTACTTGTCTTATCCAAAGTACTCATGGACTTTTCCAAAGGTCTTCCAGTTTTATCTGATTTTCTTGTTACCGTTGATTTGCCTGTTGTGGACTTACGACAGTTTATTTTGCTCTTGGGTGCTGGCGTTATATGTTTTTTTCCAGCGGATTCTTTATGTGTGGTAGTGGAGTCAGCAGGATCAACAGAGCGCTGGTTCCGGATCATTGGGTCTTTCCCTTGGTTGCTGGAGTTTTCTTCAGAAGTGGGAGGAGCCTCATGATTATCTGTAGAGCTTTTGTGGTCTATAGTTTTGGAGTTGCCTGTAGGCTTGTCAGTTGGCTTAGAATGGCGTGTGGTGTTGCAGTGGCGTTTTTGCTCATGGATTTCTGTAGATTTAGGGAGCTCTGGAGGTCTTTGTCCTGAATGCAGAACAATGTGATCAAAAGGGATACTATAAACAAGGCCTGGAGTGAGGGGAAATATGTGATCGGATGTTGAGAGTTCCCCAGTTTTCTGATATTCTTGGAATGTAGTAGCACCTGTGGAGGGAGAGAGGCAAATAAGAAACTTCCCCCATGTTCTTCTCCAACTCCCCCTTCCCACCTCCTTCTCTAGGGGATCTCTTTGTTCCCCCTGATATGACTCCCCAGCCAGTCTCCTCTGAATACTATGATATCTATTCCCCATTCTCACCTCCAGCCCCTAGGCTCAGGCTGTGCCTTCAGCAAGCATGCCACCTCATCCCCTTCCACATCTCCTCAACTCTCCATCTCAAGGCCTTCTGGCTTTAAGGCATCTTTTCTGATCCGTCTAAGCAGATAAAATCCAGCTTCATTTCAGTGCTTGAAAAGGTCTTTATTCACCATTCTGTCCTGTTACCTTCAACTTCACGTTACAGTTGTTTGCGTGCCTGCCGACCTCCACTCCCTGCCATGCCTATCCAATGGTAAGGTTTTGAGGGCATGTATGGACTAGCATTTTACTGTGCAGGTGCCCCTTTAGGGTCTGTAACTTATGGAATGGAGTCTTCTTTCTATGGCATAGCTGAGAAGACCAGGAGTAAACGTTAGACTCTTCACCTTTCCATAACATTCTAACACCATCCCAAATGTAACAGTGTGAGAAATTGAGGTAAGACCTCTGGCAGAACTTCCCATAGGGATTAGCAGGTAGACACAAATTGTGAGTGAGAGATGTATAAGAAGAATGGAGGATGGGTAGAGTAAGGAGATGGGAAGCTTTCATTTCGGTGATAAAGTTGGATGAGGGGAATGGATGAGATGACCCAACCCTTATGGTCACCCCACTGGGTCCCCCTCTTCACACATTTAAAGCCAACTGGGGATAGATGAAAGGGGCCATCCTGAAAGGAAAAGATATCTGCTTGGGGGTCCTGACAGGAGTAAACGAGGCAACTAGATTGTGGTAGGGACTGACTATGTTTAAGGACAGGGTGTGAGAGAAAACACCCCTATCAGTGGACAGATACACGCCTTAATTCCATGGAAAAACAACCTGATGGAGACAGAGGAGATGTCTCTGATACCTAGCCAAAAGAGTGAAGGCCAAGAGATCACCAAAGAGTGAAAGAGATAGTGTCATTACATAACTGAGGTTTCTGGTCCCTGTTAGCTCAAGGCGGCAACCGGAACCTGGACCTATTCCCAATCACAAGAAACCACAGTCCACCTGCCTGCTGATGGGCAGAATCGGCCTGGGGAGCTTAGTCCTTGAAAGAAATATGGGCAGGACAAGAAGGGTGTGAGGGTAATAGAGAAGCCCAAGTCTCTGAAAGGAATTGAGAATGAGGGGAGAGAAGGGGGCTGAATGATCAGGCCTGCACTCCACTGTCCCAATCCCATTACCTGATCTCCTTGGCAGCAATACCAGTAATAGCTATTGTTTATTGGACACCTTCCCCGGCCCCAGGATGTGGCTGGTGGCCTCACAGACATTCTCTTTCTGGATTCTCTTCTATGGTGATTGATCTCCCAATGCTCCATAAGGCTCTTTAGAAGCGGTCAACTTCCCCTATTTTACATCTGAGAAATTTACATTTCACGGAGGAAAAGTGACCTGTACATAGTCCCACAACAATAGCAATGGGCAACATTTCTAGAGCTCTACAATGAGACAGGCAGGTTCTACAAGTGAGGGCATACATTAACTTATTTACTTTTCACAAGAACCTGTTGAGGTTGAGAACTATCCTATTCTCCAAACTTTATAGATGAAGAAACAAGGTTCTGAGTGGTTAAGTAATCTTCTCAAGGACACCCAGCAAGTAAGAGGTCGAGACAGAATCTGAACACACATCCTGGGGTCCCGGGCCCAGATCATTGCTGGTTAAGACCACAGTGCACAGCCAATAGGTCAGCCCAGTCTTTTAAAGAAGGAAAGACACTGACATGTGTGGACTCCCTGAAAGGTGCTGTTCATATATTTGTTTATTTAATCAAATAATTATGAACCTGTGAAGTGAGGAGTGTGATCTTACTGTTTTACAGGTGGGGAAAGGAGACGCAAAGAGGTTAAGTAATTGGCAAAATTAGACTTTTCACTGTGCCCCAGATGTTTTTAAACATGATAAGGGATGAATGACTATCTATTGAGTGAATAAAGGAGCTGGCAGCAATGCAAAGGGCATTTTCCACTGGCCTTAAAGAATCAGAGGACAGGTTTGACATCCAGGCTCGGTCCCTCAGCGGTTTTGCATTCTTGCTCAGGTCTCTTAAGTGCTCTGAAGCTCCATGTTCTCGACTGTAAATAACCATGATGCTGACTGCACCAGCTTAATGTGAGGATTAAAGGAAGTATGGACCATGGAAGACTCTGGAGCACAGAAGCTATTTAAATGTTTGTTGAATCCACATTGTAGTCTCTGAAATAATCTCGTGCTTTGCCCTGTCCTTCTCCTGGTAGTAAGGGGAGCCTGAGCAGTAGCCCTACCCCTCTGCCTGCTCCATCCACCTCTCACCTGCTGTGGCCACCTTCTTGAAAACAGCAGCCTCTGCATTCCTGGGCCACTTTCTCTGCTGTGTTTTAATAACACAGCACTCATCACTTTCTGATATGTGATAAATACAATTAAATTTCCACAATGGCAAGGCTTTTTTTGTTTGTTTGTTTTTTGAGATGGAGTCTCACTCTGTCGCCAAGGCTGGAGTGCAGTGGTGCGATCTGGGCTCACTGCAACCTCCACCTCCTGGGTTCAAGTGATTTTCCTGCTTCAGCCTCCTGAGTAGCTGGGACTACAGGCACATGCCACCACACCCAGCTAATTTTTTGTATTTTTAGTAGAGATGGGGTTTCACTGTGTTAGCCAGGATGGTCTCGATCTCCTGACCTCATGATCTGCCCACCTCAGCCTCCCAAAGTGCTGGGATTACAGGCATGAGCCATTGCATCCGGCCGGGGTTTTTGTTGTTGTTGTTGTTGTTTGAGATAGAGTCTTACTCTGCACCAGGCTGGAGTGCAGTGGCATGGTCACAGCTCACTGCAGTCCTGACCTCCTGGGCTCAAGCAGTACCCCCACCTCAGCCTCCCTGTCAGCTGGGACTACAAATGTGAGCCAGTATGCCCCCTCCTCACCTTTTTTTTTTTTTTTTTTTTTAAGACGCAGGGTCTCACTATGTTGGCCAGGCTGGTCTCAAACTCTGGTCTTCAGTGATCCTCTCATCTCAGCCTCCTAAAATATTAGGATTATAGGCGTGAGCCACTGCACCTGGCCTGGCCTGGCCTGGCCTGGCAGGGATTTTTATTGTTTTGTTCATCGCTGTCTCCAGCCTAGAACAGTGTCTGATCCATAGGAGGCACTTTGTAAATATTTGTTGAATAATGAATGAAAGAATAAGACTGATGAAAACTCCTTAAAAGCCTTGCCAACAACATTTCATCATGCACGTTAAGTAAAAACCAAATGTATTTGTGACCTCCACAGGCTGGAAGACCAAGGGCGACTTCCGCTGTTCAGTAATTGAGCTCTGAGATTAAAAGACGTTGAAAGAAGGCCTCTGGCCCACCAATTCTGGGATACCAGTTGTCATTAAACCACAGGATCACAGTCCATAACTAGACTCAGATAACAAGATTTTAGAATTTTAGATCTGCATCAAACAGTTGTGGAACCATAGATTGTAAAAAGCTGAGGTAAAGCTCAAGGGATTCCTTGGTCCTGACACAGCCAAGAGGCAAATCAGTGTAAACCCCCAGGACAAGAGGAGCATCTCTGCCCCAGACGATCTACTTTGGTAGTGACTTATTTCCCTAGTAAGTTTTCACCAGGAGATATTCATTCCACGTACAACCATCATAGCCCGAAAAGAACTGTTTTGGTCACTGAAGAATAGGCAGGAGGTGCAGAGAGGAAAATCCAACTTTAGTACAAGACACTGTAGGTGGATGCTCAGCTGGGATAAAAGAATAAGAACAAATCCCACAACATCAAAACGATGCACAGTGCCAAAGGTCCCCGCCATCTGCTTTGTTCACTCATTTGAAAGAGAGGACATCGGCTGGGCACAGTGGCTTATACCTGCAATCCCAACACTTTGGGAGGCCATTGTGGGCCTGAGGTCAGGAGTTCGAGACCAGCCTGGCCAACATGGCGAAACCCCGTCTCTACTAAAAATATGAAAATTAGCCAGGCGTGTTGGCAGGACCCTGTAATCCCAGCTACTCAGGAGGCTGAGGCAGGAGAATCAGTTGAACCTGGGAGGCAGAGGCTGCAGTGAGCCAAGATCATGCCACTACACTCCAACCTGGGCCACAGAGTGAGACTCTGTCGAAAGAAGAAAGAAAGAGAGACAGAGAAAGAAAGAAAGAGAAAGGGAAAGAAAAGGAAGAAAAGAAAGAAAAGGAAGGAAGGAAGGGAAAGGAAAGGAAAGGGAAGGAAGGAAGGGAGAAAGAATATCTTGCTAAGCAACTCATGCCTTGGAGTCGCTGTCAGGGCACGCTGTCCCAAAAGAGCATCTCTAGTGTTTCCTGGTATCCTTACCCCCATAAATGGCATGCTCCATTTGCAATAATGTGGGTAAATGTTTGTTAAAATACCTATACAGTATGAGTTCAATAAGTGGCTTAAAATGCAGACATAGAAAAAGAAAAGCTGGTGGGCACAGTTGTTCACACCTATAATCCTAGCATTTAGGGAGTCTGAGGCAGGAGGATCACCAGTTTGAGACCAGTCTGGGCAACATAGCGAGACCTGTCTCTACAAAAAAAAAAAAGGAAAGCTAAAGGGAGATATAATCAAATGATTGCTTGGGGACTAGGGAGTATACAGAGATTTTATTTTTCTTTCTTATTTTTTCTATTTTCCATTTTCTACAATGAGCATACATTATTTGTGTTATAGAAATTAAATCAAATAACATTTGTTATAGGAAAATGTTCTTGTTAGATTCTTCCAAGGACCCCAGCCCCAATTCCCATCTCCTGCCTCACCTGTACTCTCTCAGATGGTTTCATCTAGACTGCACCTGTGCTCCCTCAGATGATTTCATCTGGGCTGCACCTGTGCTCCCTCAGATGATTTCATCTAGACTGCACTTGAGCCTCCCTCAGATGATTTAATCTAGACTGCGCTTGAGCCTCCCTGTGATGATTTAATCTGGACTGCACCTGTGCCTCCCTGTGATAATTTAATCTAGACTGCACCTGTGCTCCCTCAGATGATTTAATCTAGACTGCACCTGTGCTCCCTCAGATGCTTTAATCTAGACTGCACCTGTGCCTCCCTCTGGTGACTTAATCTGGACTGCACCTATGCCTCTCTGTGATGATTTAATCTGGACTGCACCTGTGCTGCCCTCGGATGATTTAATCTAGATTGTACCTGTGGTTCTGTGACTGCATGATGCAGACTCTGGGGTTCCAGGATCTAGTTATCTGTCTGGGTGTTGACTGGTCCTGTGGACAAACGTCAGGGTCTCCTCACCAGAATGGTAGACTAAAGGGCTTCATCCATCCCAGTTGTCCCTCTTCCCTTCCTGCCCTGGCCTCTCTCTCTGCTGGGCACAGCCATGCACCAGCTCTGATTCACACTCCAGTTCCACCCGACCTCATCACAACCCGAGCCCAGCCTCAAGCCCTCCCCACCTGTAACCCACTCACTCTTGTCTTCAAAATCTGCAGAATGGGAGCAGCCAGCTCCCCTTGTCCTCCCCACCCCTCCCTCCATGCCGCCCAGCCACGCCTATCTCCTCTCCGAGACCACGCCCACATGGCCCCATCGGAATCTCAGGAATTCAGATCTCCGCCCTGAAGCAAATCTCAGAGCGACTGTGTATGGAGTGGATTCCCTTCCGCCCCCTGCAGGTTCCTCTTCCTTAAGCTGCAAGATGGAAGGAGGAGAGAGCAGCCAGTGGACAATCCGCCTGAGAGGAAGGGGAAGGAAAGGCGGGAGAGATGGGGCCGGGAGGTGTTGGGCAGCTGTGGTACCTCTGTCTCCAGACCCTCAAGGTAGGGGAGACAGACATCAAGTCAGGGCACAGACAGGACGCACTGCTGAGACCTTTCAGAGGCAGCTCAAAGATTCCTCAGTCATCGCCATTCACCACCCACCTGCCCCTGCCTCCACCCCTGGCCTCAACCTGACTGTGCTCAGGGAAGGGGCACTGCCTCTAATATCACCCTGTGGATGGCTCTGTCCTTGGATGACTGTCCAGTGGGTAGATAGTGTCTCTGAATCTGCTGTTCTACATCTGCCTTGTGGAGACCCTCCTCCAAATTGCCCAGGCCCTCCACACCGCCCCTGTGTTCAGCATCTCTGCTCCCCGGGTTCAGTAGCAGTCCGTTTCTTGACTAAGTGAACTAATTTCATAATTTCATCTTATCTTTAGGGTATGTTTTGTTCGTCGAACTTGTCCATAGTCATTTTCCCATCAAAGTCCTGAGATGTTTCCCAACTGTAAGACAGGGACAGAGCCTTTGACGCACACTTTTCTGAGTCTCCATGTGGATTAAATGAGTAAATGTGGATGAAGTCCCTAGAGCAACACCTGGTGCAGTGTAAATGCTCTGTAGGCATCAAATACTGGTACGGCTGGGCAGCAGCATCCAGCCCATTTTACAGATGGTGTGGAAGGCCAGAGTAGGCAAATGGGTCAGAGTCAGGACTGGAAGCTAGGTCTGCACAAAACAGAGCTCTCAGGAGAGAAGCTCCACCTGTCCCCCCAGGGCTGGGGGCAGTGGAGCTGGAATCCCTGCTTACCTCCCTCTAGCTGTGAGATATGGGACATAATCATTGTGAATCCACTCTCCTCAACTATAAGATGGGATATTATTAGCCACCTCAGGGGATGCTGAGATGAAATGAGATGAGTCTCTGGGCACGGTGGCTCTCACTTGTAATACCAGCACTTTGGGAGGCCGAGGCAGGCGGATCACTTGAGGCCAGGCATTTGAGACCAGCCTGGCCAACATGGTGAAATCCTGTCTCTACTAAAAATACAAGAAAATGAGCCAGGCGTGGTGGCAGGTGCCTGTAATCCCAGTTACCCAGGAGACTGAGGCAGAAGAATCGCTTGAACCCGGGAGGCAGAGGCTGCAGTGAGCCAAGATTGTGCCACTGCACTCCAGCCTAGGCAACAGAGCAAGACTCCTTCTCAAAAAAAAAAAAAAAAAAAAGAAGAAGAAGAAGAAGAAGAAGAAAGAAATCACCATGAGCAGCTGTGAATTCCGTGCACGGTGCTCAATGAATGTCAGGTGCCTACCCCCACCATCCAGGGCTGGCAGCCTCTACAGTGTCTTTATGCAAACTTGAAGAAACCCCCTCTGGATGGGTGCAGCCCTGTGAGCCATGTTTTAAAGAGCAGAGCACAGGCTGGATTTCATCTCCTACTACATGTCCCTTAGCCAGCAAACTTGAGCAGAGAACACTCTAGACAACTGTCTGTAGCAGCCCCGTGCCCGCCCCCTTCATTCATTTCTATTTGTTGTCCAACGCTATGAACACTAAGAAACAAGCTGTTTCTGTCTTCTGTATCCCCTGTGGGCATCTTACCTGCCCCCCAAGAAGCTAGAAGGAAGAGGAGGCAGCACTGGAGGCCAAAGGCGGAGCAGAGGCTGTGGACCGGCTGGGCCATGTCGGAGCTGGGTGGCTGCTTGGGGACCATGGGCTGCGGACCCCTCACCTTATATGGAGCCAATCTTGACGTCATGGGGGCTGGGGCTCCTCAGGACTAAGTCTTAAACAAATGGAGCCACCCCAACCCACAGGGGAGCCCTGATAAGAGGAGACCGCAGCTGCTGCGTCATGGAGCCAGGCACCTGGGTGCCTGCCGAGGGGTGGGATCTGGGGGCAGGGCAGAGGAACCAGAAAGGAGCAGGCACCTGAGCCAGCCCCAGTGGAGGGAAGTGAGGGTGGCGCCTCCAGGGCTCTGGGGAAGTGGGGAGCAGATGGCTCAGTTCTAGAAGGACTGAGCTCTGGCTGGGAGCAGGATGGGGTGGGGTTCACGTTCTGATCTGTGTCCAGCTTCACGCGCACCCTCCCACCTCTCCCGCATCAGCCCAGCTTCCACACCCCTTATTCACACATGGTCATTCTTGCCACCTTGGGCGGAGCTGTCCGCGAGGATCAGGTGAAAGAGCAAAGGCGAGAGAAAGCCCTCGAATGACCCTCGCTGCAGAGAAAGGTGCTTCATGATGTTCAGAGGTCATACAACAATATGTGGAGAGTGCAGAGGCAGTGACAGAGACAAGACACAGAACCACAGGGACATATGTCACACCCCTCACCAGGGACACAGACAGGTCAGGCCACCCAGAAGGACCGAGGCCAAGATCTTTGGCCAAGAGATGCTCGGTGTACAGGGGCTTCTGCTTTCACTCTACCTCTTCCCTCCCACCTCAGCTCAGCGGCTGTCTCTTTGTCTCGAAGTCCCCATTCACTCCTATACAGAAATGCAGACATCTCATTTTTAGGAGCACCCCAGAGCTCCCCCTTCCCTTCCTCACTTCCTGCCTAAAGCAAGCATTAGCTCAGAGACTCCCTTGTCTCCCCAGTGACAGTGCCTGGGGCTGGAGTAGGGGAGGACAGACTCCCTGGGTCTCTAGCACAGAGAAGTCACAACCCCTTTCTGCCCACTGTGGGTCTCCATGGAAAGTAAGCACCTTGGATCCCTGCTGTGTCATCAGAGCCTAGGACAGTGTCTGGCACACAGTAGGCAATCAATAAATGTTTCCACTCCGCCTGGATGGAGTGGAAGCCAGGGCCGGAGGATGCCTTTCTGAGGGAAGTGGGGGCAGGCAAAGGCCATAGAGAGGTCCAGGACCTGAGGGCAGGAGGCCAGGCCCTCAGGGCATTTGGGCTCATGAGAGGACTAGAGAACTGGACATGTGGGTTCCTCTCCTTACTTGGTGTGACTTGTCCCTAAGCCCTGGGCAGGGCTGGAATAGGTGGGAAGAGGAGAGGAGGCCAACTGCTTATTAATGTGATTAATGGGAGATTAATGAGGCTCCGTGGAGTCAGGCCAAAGACTGACTACTCAGAACTGGGCAGCCTGCCTCCCAGGCAATATATCCTGCAGGATGGAGAAACTAAGGCAGACACAGGCTGTCCTCTGCAACTCCATGTAGACTCGGGTGACTGACAGTCCCCCTTTTCACTGGTCCCCTTCCCCCCCCCCCCTTTCCCCAGGGACCCAAGCCTCTAGGACGGTGGTTCTGTACAGGGAGGAGTAATTTTGCCCACATCAGGGAACATTTGGAAATTTCTGGAGACATTTTTGTCACAATTTGGAGTGGGATGCTACTGGCATCTAGGGGGTAGAGGCCAGAGATGCTGTGGGACATCCTATAATGCCCAGAGCAGTCTCCACAGCAAAGAATTATCCAGCCCAGGACACCAATTGTGCTGAAGTGGAGGATCTCTGCTTTAGAATAAGCACTAACCAGTGTTTGTGAATGAACACCCCCTTCCCTTCTCTCTGAGCTACAACTCCACCCCAAGGACGCTGATGTCTGGGATGGAGAAACCTGGAGGTAGGTGGAGGCCCAAAACAGTCTCTTACAGTCAGTCTATGTTGCTTCATCTGAGCTGGAGGCTGAGAGGCCAGTCACGAAACAACTCTGCCAACTACCATTGTTTGGGCATTTCTATGTACTGAAGAATGTACTAAGCACCTCACCTATGAGTTATCACCTGTCACCCTCACTTTACAGATGAGGATAAATGAGCCTCGGATCAGGGAATGACTTGCCCTGGTAACTGGCAGAGACCAGACTTGGCCCTTCCGGGCCCACATGACACAAAAGCCCATGCACTTGGGCAAACCCACAGCATCTGGGAGACAAGTGGAGGAAGTGCCATTTTATTTAGCAATAACTTGTTCACCACCCTCCCATAGCAGACCGAGGGGGCACCACAGAGGAGGGTCCTGCACCTGCCCTGAGGGGAGAGAATCAGAGGGCCTTGGGGGCTCAAGAGCCAGCCTGAGGGGGCTCCCTGTGGAGGGAAGTGAGAAGGGAAGCCGTGAGCAGACTGTCCTCAGCTAAAGAGCTTCTCTGGTCGTCAGGGAGGAGGGTGGGACTAGGAAGAGAGGGTGAGGGGCAGGGGTTCCAGCTGTCCAGACCTGGGCTCCGTGAGGGCTGGAAGGTGCCTGCAGACCACTTAGCCCTGGTCCTTCCTTCTACAGATGAGAAAACTGCCCTCGGAGAAGCTGGGCACCTTCCCGCAGTCTGCATGGCTGGCGGCAGGACAGAGAGCAGAATCTTGTGACTGACAGTAGACTCCTCCTTACGCTGTGGGTGGAAGAGACCTGGGGGGGCCAGTGACCCCAGGAATCTACCTGCAGGAAATGGTCCCAGCTAAGGTGAATGGGATAGGGGAGTCTGGGAATGAGACTATCTGGGAGAGGAAGAAGGAAGGCCAAAGGGTAGGCGCTCAGCTGCCCCAGCCCCACCTTTCATTTGACAAGAGTAGCGCTGGCTGGCAGCCTCCCCCTCATGGTGGCTGCTGTAAGGGGTCACAGAGCCACAGCCACACCCCAGACTCATCTCCCTCCGGAACTGGCAGGCCTGTGAGATGAGGGGAGGGTACGATGGGTTAATCTAGGGACCCGGGAACCTGCTGCTCAGCCCAGCTCTTCCCATGAACTGCTGCTTCCTCTTGGCAACCCAGGCACTCAGCATTCCTCTTTGAGCAAAAACAGCAATAATAATGAATAAGGCTGTATATTGAGCACTTACTATAATACATGCCAAGCACCATTAGTGCTCTCTTTGCATAAGCTTATTTGATCCTCCCAACCACCCTTTGAGATGGATGCCATCATTCTCATTTCATCCAGGACTCAATTACCTCATCTGTAAAATGAGGAGTAATATTTCCTATATCACTGGCTTGCTGTGAACTAAAATATGTACAGCACCTAGCACACCTAGCACATAATCAGTGCGATGTAATATTATTATTATTTAAGTATTATTATTAATGAAGAATCCGGAGCACAGACAGATTAAGTAACTTGCACAAGGATTCAAGCCCAGGTGAATGTGGCTCCACAGAACTGGTCCTTCATTGCCTAGAGCTGAGTTGAGTGCTTCCACGTGCCAGTCAGCCTCCAGCACTCCCCCGCCTCTTTCAGTGGCCCCAACCCCCTATCCCTGCCAGACCGGTGTTTTTCTCGGCCACTGAGACAAGGGCTCTCTTTGCCCTCCCTGCAACAAGCCCTGCAAGCTGTCATTCCCCTCCCCAAAGCCCTGTTCTCCTCTGAATCCTGGGGCACCAGGTCCCAGCCCCACTGGCACAGGGATCCCACACATTGGACCATGGCATTGCTCACCTTCTTGATACCGTACATTAGGCTGACAATTGCTGCCACCAAAGTGAGAGTGATCAACACAATGGCCCAGTCTGAGACAGAGTCCTTCTGGGGCTTCGGACCTGGGGCACAAAGACAGGGCCAGTGACTGAGGTAAGTGGTGCCTCCAGCCCCCCAGACCCCCACTGCCCTCTGACTTTCCATCTTTCTTTCTGTGACTGATGTCTCTGACTCTGAGACCTCATCTCTCTGGTGTTTTCTCCTATCACCTTGGGAGCAGAATCTCAGCAGGGGTGGGGGTGGGGGTTTAAAGGGCTTCAATCCAAGTCTCAATTGCCTCTTCCCTGTGGACACGTCTGTCAGTCCCAGACTCATCACTGAGGTCCGCACCTCACTGTCTTTCTCGGGCCCTATTTTCTGCATCCCTGGGTCTGTGATGCTTCTGCACTGGGAGGGTCCTCAGTAGGCACTCTCCTTCCTCCAAGCCCCAGTTCTCCCCACCACTCCACCCTGATTCTTGTCCTTAAGGGGAACCAGAGCCTGATCTCCTGTCTTCCTTCCATTCGTTTCCTGCCGTCAGACTTCCCGCGTGGTATTCCCTATGCTCCCCTTCTAGGAATGAAAGGGAGGGGAGGAGGATGATGGAAGAAGGAGGGGTGATCTCTGGAAGGAATGCCTCTCGCCCTGAACAGAGAGATTAGATCATGAGGAAGAAAGATGAAAACCTTTCGAGAAAGCAGCCAGGTAACAGGCATCTGGCAGTTGGTCTGACCAGAGGCCACCAAAACCCCTTTGAGCTACAGACACATCCTCAGACAGGTTTAAAACACAGTTGAAAGCAGGAGCTAATGACTCTCCCTGAACTCCTCCCAAGGAGCCAGGGGTGGCTGCAGGGAAATGAGAGAGAATAGGCCCACCAACATTTTACTGTAAGTGACCCAGTGCCTAGAAGAGTGACTTAACTGGCCAGGATGCTGAGCCCAGAGGACGTGGTGGCCACCCAGCCATGGTGGCAGTGGAACTCCTAAGACAGCAACACTCAGTGCTAAAGTCCCAGGCACAGTTGGAGCTGTTCCGGGAGCACTGGATGAGGCAGGTCCTAAGAGGGCAGAGGGAAAAAACAGAAGAGATTCAAGCAAGAGCAAAGCAGAGGTCACATCAAATGCACCCACAGGCAAGACTCCAGCAAGTTTTTGGAATAAACTGATGAAATAATGTTATGAAAATCAAGACTGAGAATAACCAAGACACTCTCTTAAAAAAAAAAAGGGAGAACTTACACTATGAGATCTCAAGACTTGCTACAAATCTGTAGTCCTTAAGCACTGTGGCCCTGGAGTAAGAACTGACTGATAGGCCGGGTGCAGTGGCTCACACCTGTAATCCCAGCACTTTGGGAGGCTGAGACAGGCAGATCACCTGACGTCAGGAGTTCGACACCAGCCTGGCCAACATGGTAAAATCCCGTCTCTACTAAAAATACAAAAAAATTAGCTGGGTGTGGTGGCAGGCGCCTGTAATCCCAGCTACTCCGGAGGCTGAGGCAGGAGAATTGCTTGAACCCGGGAGGCGGAGGTTGCAGTGAGCCGAGATCGCGCCATTGCACTCCAGCCTAGGCAACAAGAGTGAAACTCCACCTCAAAAAAAAAAAAAAACTTACCGAAAAACCCACACAAATAGTCACTTGACTTTCAGGATAGGTGCTCACCGTTCAATGGCAGGGACAGGGGAGGGTCCTTGGAAATAATGGTTCTGGATATTCATAAGAAGAAAAAATGAATCTTGACTTCCACCTCGCTCCATACACAGAAATTAACTTGAGATGGATAATAGACTTAAATTTGAAAGCTAAAATAATAACGTTTCTGGAAGAATGCAGAGGAGAATATTTTCATGACCTTGAAGTAGCCAAAAAAGTCTTAGGATACAACAGGAACTAATCATGACAGAAAAAGGTGATGAATTGGAAAACAGAAAGAGAGGCCCTTGTATAGCCACAAAGGCAAGGGAGCTGCTTCCACTGAGGTTCTGGAAAACTGCCAGGCTTGCAGGAAGCCCCACCCCAGAGCTACAGACCGAGCTGAAGGGTTCTCCCGAGATGGGTTGAGCAACAGAAATATCACCTGATGATGTGGAGACTGTTCCTGAAGTGCTCCCAGAAACGGCTGGAGCTAAAGACTGAGGACTGCTGGGAAAACTCCCAGAGTTTGAAGAAACTGTTGAGACACTCCCAGAGGCAGTAGGGAGACTTCTAGAGATAGTGGGGACAGTTGCAGAGATAGTGGGGAGACCTCCAGAGACAGAGGGAAGATTTCAGAGACAGTAGGGAAACTTTTGGAAATAGTGGGGACAGTTGCAGAAACAGTGGGGAAACCTCCAGAGATAGTGGGAAGACTTCCAGAAACAGTGGGAGACTTCCAGAAACCGGGGAGAGCTCCAGAGACAGAGGAGAGACTTCCAGAGACAGTGGGGAGACTTCCAGAGACAGGGGAGACCTGGGGATACTGTGTCAGAAGTCCCCAGTAGGGTCAGCTGAACTGTTGAAAAAAGAAGATAAACCATAGAACGGGGTTAGAAGAGTTGGCCATCCCACTGGGTCCCAAATTCATGTCCTTCCTCAAGACCCCCTGTCTGGGCCCAAGTGCTCACTGGGTCCGGCCAAGGCCTGCAGGCCCAGGAGCAGCACCAGCACAGTGTCCATGGCACCAGTTGAAGTGTGTTGGCCAGGCCCATCTCCCAGGCTCTTTAAAGGCTCTGGGGCCTATTATGAGTCCCGGGAGAGCCAGTTGTGCCGGGGCCTCCACCAACACCAGAATCTCCATCCCCAGAGAGAGGTCGCCAAGTTGTCCCAGGGGATTAACCTGTCCCAGCCTGATCCCAGGAAGCACAGGGTGAGGGGGAGAGTGAGTAAGAGCCTGCGGGCTCCCCCACCTGGCCCTTGGGCTCTTCCTGGACTAGGGACCTGTCCCCCAGGTCTGAGTCAATTCACAGCCCAGACCCTCCTTTAAAAGGGGAGACCCAAATGACCTATCCCAAGGTCATCCTCTTGTTCCTAGAAGTACAACCGTTGGAAGTCAGGACGTATGAGTCCCTCAGGGAAGCAGGATTTGGAAGCTGGGGTTGTAGGGGAACCATGAGGGTCTAGGACTGCATCTGACCTTCTGGAAACCTAAGAGTGGGCTGGGAAGGTCAATACCTGAGCCGTGTCTCACCTAGATGGCTGCAGCTGACAGAGCTTTCCATTCCTTTGACAGGGAAGGGGAAAGGGGAGATAAGGGGCACCAAGGAAGACACGTGTCATGTTTGGGGACAGTGTGATATGGAAGGTCAGACCCCAGCTCTGGAGCCAGACAGCCCTGAATCCTCAGAAGCTCAGTACCAGGGCTGAGTCCACTGCACTGGAATCCACCACTGCTGAGCTGTGCATTCTCTGGCAAGTCACAAGGCCTAAGTCTTAATTTCACCTCTAAAATCGGGGTAATCTAGTACCTACTTCACAGGCGCTTATGCGCTATAAAGGAATACTTAGTGATGAGCCTAGCACATGGCTGTAGAAAGTGTGGGGGAGGCCAGGTGCGGTGGCTCACGCCTGTGATTCCATCACTCAGGGAGGCCGAGGGGGTGGATCACCTGAGGTGAGGAGTTGGAGACCAGCCTGGCCAACATGGTGAAACCTTGTCTCTACTAAAAATACAAAAATTAGCCTGCTGTGGTGGCGGGTGCCTGTAATCCCAGCTACTCGGGAGGCTGAGCCAGGAGAAGATTGCACCACTGCACCCCAGCCTGGGCGACAGGGATGAGACGCTGTCAAAAAAAAAAAAAAAAAAAAGGAAGGAAAGGAGGGAGGGAGGGAGGGAGGAAGGGAGGGAGGAAGGGAGGGAGGGAGGGAGGGAGGGCCCTTACTCTTCTCCGAGGAAGATCTCTCTGTGTTCCCAATTCTACCTCCTGCTCGTCCCTCCTGTGCCTGCTGCTCTTCTCCTCCATGCTTTCTTCCCACTGTGGTCTTCCTGTTGTCCTGTGCAAGTCTGGGAGTCATTGGTTGCCTCACTTTACACTTACAGTGCAGACCAGGCCTCTATCTCTGTTTCCCCATCTTGCTTTTGCTCTCCCCACCTCTGCCCAGTGCTCTCTCTGCCTCTGTCTCTCTGTGCTCAGTCCCGCTGGCTTTGGGGAAGGTGGAGAGGCTGCATAGGGAAGTGGCAGATAGGAAGATGCTGGCCTGTGCCCTTGTGTGTTCAAGCAAGTTTCCATGGCTGGTGTGTCTCTTTGTCTGGCTAGAGGGATGGGTTCTAATCTCTCTGCTACTTGTTGGCTGGGTGACCTTAGCAGGTCACTTACCCTCTCTGTGCCTTACTTTCCTAGTTTCTAAAGAGGGTCAGTAACTCCCTCTGCACATCTGTCCTGTGCTTGCCTGTCCCAGCGCTTGCCTGTAGGCGTCTCGGCCGGGAGTAGGTGGGTGTCCCCTTTTCATGGGTGCACAAGGCAGGAGTGAGAGGATGTCTGAGGAAACTCGTGTCTCCCCCTGACAATCCAGGATGCGTTAGAGCAAGTAAAACAGAATGTTCAGCAATGGAAGTTCCCATGACCAGATTTCTCATCTAGAAAGCCACCAAGGCTGGGGAAGCAGTGTTCACAGTCCATTATAGACCCAACTCCTTGTTCTACTCCTTCTCCTCTTTTCACTACTGCACTTGACTAGTGTTTAAAAAAAAAAAAACCTGAGGGAGCAGGACACCTGGGTTCTGGAAGAAACTTGGCTTAATCCACCCCTCCCTTTTGGGCCCACATTCCTGAGCCCTTCGGTGTCAAGAATGATGAAAATTAGCTGCAGTTAATAATTAATCTCTAAAGATCCTTGGGAGGCCCGGGCATGGGTGGGGGCCCAGACACCTGCAGGAGGGACGCCTCCCTGGTCCCCGCTTCCCTCTCCATTTCCCTGTCTGTAGGACCCGCACTCACTCCCTCAAACCTGGAGACACAAGGGAGGGGTGGGACACAGAGTGGAAGAGAGGGGACTTCCTTCTATTTTCCCCAAAAGCACAGTGAATGGTCCTCTCCTGGGTCCTCTCTTACTGGGAGAACTGGAAAATCCAGTTGACCAGATTCCTCCTCCCATTTCCCCTCAAACACTTATGCTAAGGCTTGAGTGGGGTGTAGAAACAGGCCTGTTAAGGAGAGGCCACCGGGACTTCAGTGTCTCCTCCATCCCAGGAGCGCAGTGGCCACTATGGGGTCTGGGCTGCCCCTTGTCCTCCTCTTGACCCTCCTTGGCAGCTCACATGGAACAGGTGAGGGCTAGAGGGCAGGACTCCTGGGTCCCTGTGGCAAGAAGAGGCCAGAGAAAAGGGGTGGGACTTCATGGTCCCTGAGAGTGACAGAGACACCCCAGTCCTGAGCTTCCAAGAGGCTCTGGAGGGGCATTGCTGGGGAAGAGGAACTGTGCCGGGGAGCGTGAGCAGGAAGGTTCTGTGTCTCCGGAGGAATCAGCCCTGACTGCTGGGTCCTAAGCTGTACTTCTGGATCCGCAGGGCCGGGTATGACTTTGCAACTGAAGCTGAAGGAGTCTTTTCTGACAAATTCCTCCTATGAGTCCAGCTTCCTGGAATTGCTTGAAAAGGTAGTTCTTTGGAAGGGGAAAGATGGGGCTGTGTGTTTGTGAGTCAGTTTGGGCCTCTGCTGGGGTCTGGATGTCTCCGTGGTGGGAATGGAGAGCTCTCTTACATCGCGCCCTTTAACCCTTTGTTCCCAGCTCTGCCTCCTCCTCCATCTCCCTTCAGGGACCAGCGTCACCCTCCACCATGCAAGATCTCAACACCATGTTGTCTGCAACACATGACAGCCATTGAAGCCTGTGTCCTTCTTGGCCCGGGCTTTTGGGCCGGGGATGCAGGAGGCAGGCCCCGACCCTGTCTTTCAGCAGGCCCCCACCCTCCTGAGTGGCAATAAATAAAATTCGGTATGCTGAATTCAATAACTTGCTTGACTCTGTGGGTCCCTGAGCACAGAGCTGGCAGGAAGTGGGGGTTGGATGCTCAAGTCTCTGACTGTCCCCCTGTTGAGCAGAGGGTTCCAGGGATGGACAATGTCTCCCTCAACACCAGTGTCACAGGCCTACAAGGCATCTGGGGAGTTGTTTGGGGACACACACACCACACACATATACGCATGCATAGGAACACACACCAAATTGAGATCTTTGGAACACCTGGGAATAAAGAGAAGCAACATTTATTGAAGTCCTGCTTTTCTCCTGCATCCCTATTTCGATGCTTGCAGCAGTCTTGAATGTGGCATACTAGGTATCATTATCCTATTTTACAGATAAGGAAATTGAAGCTCAGAGAGGGCAAGTCACTCACCTGAGATCTAATAGCAGTGGAGAAGTCAGGCACTAGACAGAGGTCTTGGTTTAAACAAGATTTTTATTTCATTTCCCTTTGCTTAAGCATTGGGGCCAGGGGCTCAAAAACCAAAGAAAGAGACATAGGCAGAACACCCCCAGGACATGGTTCCCCTGGCCCATGGATCCACACAGGTAATTGGGGTGGGAGGTGGGTGGGCACTCAGGTGAGAGATGACGGGTTCAGCTTGTGAGAGGATGCCCAGCCAGGCGCAAGTGCTGGGGAGGAGAGGCCAGGTGCAAGCTGAGCCTGTCCTGACTAACCACGTGAGTATGAGGTGACACCAGCCCACATGTGAATTCCTGGGCATGTTTCTTATCCTCTTGGAGCCTCCATTTCTTCACTCGCAAAATGGGAACAATGATGGTACCTGCTGTAGTGTGACAGGTCCCCTACCAGGTTACCTAACGGTGTATGCCACTGCCTGAATCCTGAAGGCCAGGTGGCGAGCCAAGGTCACGGTGCCTGGCCGAGGAGCAGGTGTCCCTGAGAACCCAAACATCCCGGAGAGTATCTGGGAACCCACCAAGGAAAACAGTCCATTCGCACACACACAGTCGGCAGAGTCAGAAAATTAGCTTGAAAGCAGCTTTAGCATGGGAGGCAGCACGGATCTCTAAAGCTGTCCTGCTGCCATCCAGGAGTGCCTTGTATGTAAGTCCTAAAAAACTCATCTACTCACCAAGCTGGACTTGTCTGAGTCACTTTTTGGCCTCTCAGCTCCCTCCCAGTTTGGGGGAAGGTTTTTGTTGTTGTTGTTTTGTTTTGTTTTTACACAATTCTGAGTTTTTCTCATTATTCCTGCACCATCAGGTTGTTGTGAGGATCACACAGGGAAGCTACTTAGGGACATATCACAGCCTGTCTTATAGGTCGTCGGCAGGATGGTAGGGATTGCTGTTAGGATGGAAACCTGGTCCCAACACATAACTCCTAGTCCCCTGGGGTTCAGGGTCCTCCTTATGCTGATTTCTGAGGCAGGCACTCCTGACCACCTTCTCAAGATTATCTTGGCCAGGCGCAGTGGCTCACTCACGCCTGTAATCCCAGCACTTTGGGAGGCCAAGTCAGGTGGATCACCTGAGGTCAGGAGTTCAAGACCAGCCTGGCCAACATGGTGAAACGCCATCTCTACTAAAAACACAAAAATTAGCTGGACATGGTGGCATGTGCCTGTAGTCCCAGCTACTTCGGGGAGCTGAGGCAGAATTGCTTGAACCTGGGAAGCAGAGGCTGTAGTGAGCCAAGACCATGCACTCCAGCCTGGACTACAGAGCAAGACTCTGTCTCAAAAAAAAAAAAAAAAAAAAATTGACTTCTCACCAGCTCTCAAAACACAAACTTGCAGCTCAGACTTGAGCAGTGGGGGGTACTGATAGGATTGCTCTCTGTCCTCTGTGGTACCCACTCTGCCCCCCACACCTACACAACCCTCCATTATCTCCATATGAAATTGGAGACTGACTCCTTTGGAGACAGAAGACAACAAGAGTTCAGTATGGAGCATCACTGAAGATGAGGGGAGCATAGAAAATGGCAGGGTGGAAAAAAAACACTTAAAAAATTGGTCTACCTTCCTTCACAACTGTCCTGGGACAATTAGCCCCCAAGGAGAGGTAGCAGGGGGCTCCAAAGGAGACTAGTATTTTATGACTTGCCCCTAGCCTGCAGTAGTGGGCAGGTGACGCCCATGGGGCAGCTGTGAGGATCCCCAAACAAGTTGGGGGACTGGATATCTGAATGTCCAAGAGGTTGGTAGAGCAGACAGCTAAATGCACCTCAACCTGGTTCCTAGACTTCAGGGCCTGAGATCACCAGGATGTGATTTCCAGATTATTTTTCTCAAAGAATTGTCTCCCAAGGCTCAAAACAGAGCAGTGCAGTGAAGAGTGCTTTGGGGTTCACCAGACCTGGGGGTGGCAGAGACTGCTAACTGGCCCCCCTAACAGCCATCCTCCTCCTTTTGGATAGTCATGTAGATTTCAACTCAGCATGTGGATCATTACATTTCCCAGCCTCCCTTGCAGCTAGCTGTGGCCATGTGATCACGTTCTGTCCAATAGGATGCAAGTAGAAAGGAGGTGGGCAACTTTCTGGTAGTATCCTTGAAAAGAAAGGAGCTTCCATTTCAGAGGAGGAAAAGCAAAGTTCTTGAAACAGCCTATAAGGTCTTAGATCAGTGCTTTCCAATAGAACTTTCTGTGATGATGGAAATGTTTTATAACCGTGCTGACGAACATAGTAGCCACTGGCCACATGCAACTACCAAAACACTTGAAATATGGCAAGTACGACTGAGAAACTGAACGTTTTTATTTTATTTAATGCTTTAGGTAGCCAACTGGCTACCATTTTGGACACAAGCCCCAGATTGTCCGCCTTGAGTCTTCCCTACCCCCCACCAATTCCCCACCCTCACCTCTGTTTCTCCACCTCCCACCATCCTCCCCTTCTCACTCTGCCCCACCACACTGGTCTCCAGGCTACTCCTCGAGCTGTCTGACCGTGCCTCTATCTGTTTTCCTCTGGCCCTTCCCTTTGTCTGGAACGCTCTTCCTATACCTCCTACAAGCCTTTGCTTAAACCTCACCTTTACAGTGAGTTCTGCCCTGACCCACTATTTAAAAGTACAACCTGCCCCCCGCCACACAAACACATTAGAGTCCCCTTACCTTGTTCTATCCTTTTTCCCTCCCCTGCATTCATGACATTCAAACATAGTATATCGTTCACTCATTTGTATGTTATTTCTGACTGTCCTGCTAGAAGGAAAGTACTACAAGGGCACAGAATTTTGTTTCACTCACTGATGAATCTAAGTGTCCAGAATAAGGCCCAGCCCATCCATAGCAGGTGCTCAAAAAAAAAAACACCTTGCTGAAACAGAGTAAAAAGAAAAAGAAAACTGCCCATCCCCTTCTTTCCCTCCTCCCTCTGGGTGGAAATGCAGACATGGTGATGGGAGCTGGTGCAGACCTTGGACATGAAGTTTGACAATGCATCAGAATGGCAGGAAAATAAGATTGAAGGAGGTGTGGGCTCCCATTATTGCAGATCTCTGCACTACTTATGCCCAGCAGAAGAAATATCCACCTCATCTAAGCCACCATTATATTTGAAGTTTAGTTACAGCAGCCAGAAAGAGCCTGCACCTAATTTATTGGGTTAGGTCCCAGTGGAGACTTTTCTCTGAGCACACGTCTTCATCTCCAAAATGGGGGCTGGGCGCAGTGGCTTATGCTTGTAATCCCAACACCTTGGGAGGCCAAGGCAGGTGGATTATTTGAGCCCAGAAGTTCAAGACCACCCTGGCCAACATGGCAAAACCCTATCTCTACAGAACAATTTTAAAAATTAGCAGGGCAGGGCTGGGCATGGTGGCTCACGCCTGTAATCCAAGCATTTTGGGAGGCCAAAGCAGGCAGATCACTTGAGGTCAGGAGTTCAAAACCAGCCTGGCCAACATGGTGAAACCTTGTCTCTACTAAAAATACAAAAAAAATTTAGCTGGGCGTGGTGACAGACAACTGTAATCCCAGCTACTCAAGAGGCTAAGGCAGGAGAATCACTTGTACCAGAGAGGTAGAGGTTGCAGTGAGCCAAGATCTCACCAGTGCACTCCAGCCTAGGTGACAAAGCAAGACTCCGTTTCCAAAAAAAAAAAAAAAAAAAAAAGTAGCAGGGCACAGTGGTGCACACCTGTGGTCCCAGCTACTCAGAAGTCTGAGGCAGGAGGATCACTAGAGCCCTGGAGGTTGAGGCTACAGTGAGCCATGATTATGCCACTGCACTCCAGCCTGAGCAACAGAGCGAGACCCTGTCCCAAAAATAAAGTAAAAATAAAAATCTCCAAAATGGAGCTAACACCCGCCTCATGAGGTTTTCAGTAGGATTAAATGGCATTGTACATCTAGCACCATAGAGGACCCAGCCCAGGACAGGCTACTCAGAGCTGCTGGACAGAATGTACTCTGGGCGTGGAAGGGCCAGGCCCTTGAATTCCATGGAGATGAGATGGTGTTTGGCGTGGGTAAGGTGGCTGGCTGTGCTGTGAATGTGTAACTCAGAGGCTGGGCACTCAGGTGTCAGAGCACAGAAGGTGGGGACACACCATCTGCAGCACAGCCTGCAGCCCATCAGGTCTGGAGGAAGTCCTACTTCTCTCAGCACCTCTAGGGATACAGCCAAGGAGCGGGGAAGCTTCCATTTAGTGAGAAGTGGAGGAGAAAGAGCCTGCAAAAGCCAGGGCACTGTCAGTCCAGAAAGGAGGTAGAACCGGAACCACTGTGCCCATACCCTACCCATGACTAGAAAGTTCCTCTTCCTCCAGTGAGGACCCCTCCTCCTCTTTTCCCAGACCAAGCTCTCAGGGGACAACTCAGAAGCACAAAAGTCACCACTGGGAGCAAAGGGGACCAAAGAGCCATAAACAGACATGTTTGGGATTTCAAAAGTTTATCTCAATCTCCTCATTCCCAGACTTCCAGGTGGGAGGCAGGCCGGGCAGTAATGTGAGCATCTCAAGGACACCACAGTCACTGCGACCAAGCCAGTCTGTGTCCTCATTTACACAATGAAGGCGATGGACCACATAGTCTCTGACGTCCCACTGCACCCTGACAGCTGACAAATCTGTTTGTCCTCAAAGACAGGTCTGAGAGGGAGGAAAACTGATGGGGATGATGAGTTAGAGCTCCGGGCTCCCTGGGGCTGGAGGCTCATCCATCAGCTGCCGGAGGTGAGAGGCTGCCTTGTCCAGTTTTGACAATTCCAGCTGGAGGGAAGAAAGCTGGACGAGGAGAAAAGGAGGTGAGGATCCAGGAATGAGGCCCCTCCTGGCCCATATTCCCTCAGGGGTGGAGCCTTCTGGGGGCCTCCCTCAGCCTTACCTTTTGTTGCCTCTGAGTCCCTGCCTCCCCTTCTGATGGGGTCCTGGCTGTGAGGCTATCAAGCTGCTTCTGCAACTTGTACCTTCGGGCGGCTAACAGAGGTAGCTGGATCTGCGGGTCCACCAGGCCCTGGGGAAGAACAGGGAGAAAAGGCTCAGACATCCGCCTGCTGCCAGGCCTCCATCCTCCATTAGAAGGTCCCTTCCCCTACTTTATAGAGCCCAGCCCCTCCCTTCCTCCCAGCATGCTTCCCAAGCCTGCCCTAACCCTCCCCATCCCCTCTGGTCACCTGCAGCTCCATGTAGACTTGAGCCGTGTCACTGAGTGGAGCCTGGGCCCAGCCGGAGGGAGCTGCTGTGCCTGGGGGTAACAGGCCCACAGCCCCACAGTAGCCCAGGGTGCCCAGGGGCTCCAAGAAGGCCTCGAAGAGGCCCTGGTCCCCAGGCTCTGAGCTCTGCAGCAGCACTGGAAAGAAAGAAACTGTCAGGGGCAAGGCCTCAGCTCCTGCCTCCCTTCCTACCCTGCACCTCCTAATGGGGGGGTTGGCCCTTCAGGCTCTCCTCTTTTCCCCACCAGCCCCCTTTTCCTGCAGGGATCCGAGCCCAGGACCCGCCTTGCCTCACCTCGGGGCCGGGCTTTGGTGAGCTGGTACGTGGCTCGGAGAGCCCTTAGCACCTGCACGACCTCTTGGACCCGGGAGAAGCGCCGCTCCAGCTCTGGCTGGCGCCAGTGCTCCTGGCAATGGGGGGGACCCAGAATTGGCAAAGGGGCTCCTGGGAGACTCAGTACCAACCCTGCTGGCTCTCTTCTCGACCCATCCACCCCATCTCCTTAGGGCAATGAGATCTGTCCTCAGCACCACAGAAAATCCACTATCTCAAGGAACATGACAAAAAGTGAGGCGTCATTTAAGAGGTTTTAGATGATCAGTGTTTGATGCCTGTTTAGTTGCTGTGATTGAAATGGCCAACCAAAAATAAATTAGAATTTAAAATGAATTAGTCAAAACTCAAAACCAAATAAGTATAAATTTAAATAGTTAAATTTTAAAATAATTTTTGGGTGAGTTCATAGCATTTATCCTTCTGAAGTTATTAAAGCTGCACTGAGATTTTGGGGACACCCTATTACTAACTTATCCAACCCTCATCACAACCATAACATATACTATTACTGTTCCTAGTTTAAACATGGGGGAAACTGAGGCTCGATCACACAGCTCAAAAATAGCAGTCTAGCAACAGAGTCCTGCTCTTGAGCACTATGCTAATACTGTCCCTCAAGACCCTAGGGTCATCGCAGCAACCCTGCAGGAACAATCCATCTTCCCCAGGGCTCCACAGTAAAGTACGAACCATTCCTGCAGATGAGCCCCCTGCAGCAAACCCCTTCAGAAGGTGCTCCCCCCGATTCACCCACAGACCCACTCCAAGGTGCTTGGGACTCACCAAGCTGCAGGCGCTAGGGTAGGGGGCAACCGAGATGCTGGGGGCAGGGGGGCAACCAGGCCTGGGGGGCAGCCTCTGCCAGAGCTCTTCAGCCAGGAAGGGCATCAGTGGGGCCAGGAGGCGGAGGCCGAGGTCAGCGCAGGAGAACAGGACCTGAGGGGGCCCCAGGGGGCGGGGCGAGTGCCACAGCACGGGCTTCACAGCCTCCTGGAGAGGAAGCCAATGGTCAGAGGACAGGTCCAGGGCCACAGCCCTCCTCCCTACAGCCACTGCTACCCGCCAGCGGGGCAGGCCATGGGTCCTGGGAGAGAGGGACAGGCAGAAGCACTTAGCACTTCTGATATGATCCACAGTCCCAGGACACACTCAGCACAAAGAAGGGGACTCCAGGACAGCAATTCTCTGCAGTACACAGGGACAGGATTTCCAGGGAAACATGTAGTTTAGGGAAAAAAATCATTGAGTTTTTTGCTTATCAACAGGGGACAGAGGTTTTTAAAAGGCTGAGCTAGGGCAGTGGTCCATAGCCAGCAGCAGCAGCAGCACCACTTGGGACAAGAAATGAATATTCATTACACCACCCACCCCCACCCCAACCTGCTAAAGGAGCCACTCTGGGGTGGCAGTGGAGCGGGGCGGGGATCCACAGTCAACAAGCCCTCCAGGTGCTTTGGACGTAGGACAGCGTGAGAACCCCTGGTCTAAAGACCGCTGCTAGTCCCTCCCAGGCCTCTCTCAGCACGCAGCCTGCCCATGGGCCAAACTCAGCAACTACAGGGACTGAAAAAATTCCCCTCTGCCTTCTGACACCGACTTGTCAGACATTTCTAGAAGTCTCCCTCCTCCTCCTCTCCCCAGGTGACAGGCAGGCAACAGTGCCTGGGCTGCACTGCCAAAACCAGTCCCAGGAAGAGGGGAACTGAGACTCCCTCGTCTCCTCTCCTCTCCTAACTGAGGGGACAATTGGGAACTTATTAACTCCAGAGCTCTCTGCCTTGGAAATTTCCAGAGGAATTAGAAGCAGGCATGGGAATACCAAGCCTCCCCCAGCCTCACTCACCAGGTAGACGTCACAGAGGTTGTGAAGCCAGAAGTGGTGCAGGGCATGAGTGACGAGCGAGAGCTCTCGGGTGAGGAAGCCCCGCTCACACTCCTGGGCAGCCAGGGCAAGGCGGCTCAGGATCCAGGCATCCATCGGGGAGGAGGGAGACAGCTGCAGGCAGAGGGGGCAGGATGGCCTGACTCCCCCTCCCCTGCCTCCTTTCCTTCCAGATGCCACCTTGGCCCTCTGACACCTGACTACCCTACTCCCAAGCACCTCTGTTTTCTCTTACCTCCTCAGCAGGCTGTGGCACAAATTTCTCCCCTAAAGCATTGAGGATAAAGCGAAGAGCATTCCAGATCTTGTTGCAGAAATGTCGGCAGCTCTGGACCTCAGAGACTGACAGGTGCAAGTCGCCCGCTGGAAGGGGAGAATCGAGGTAGTCTGCATGTAGGTGGCAGCAGCACCAGAAGTCCTGCCCCTGCCCTGCCCCTGCACAGGTGCCCGCTGCCCTCTGCTCACCCCGACACCCCTCGCCCAGGCTTACCCTGAACTCCATGGGAGCAGAGTGTGAATCTCAGGGCATCTGTCCCACACTCAGGGATCCCGTGAGGAAAGTCCTTTTTCTGCAACCAGAGGAAGAAGAAGGGTGGCAGATGCCTTTGTGGCTGCAGGGCCAGGACCTGGGTTGCAGAGGAAGCCAGAGGTGGTGAGCTAGAGCTGGTGGGGGGAAGGCAGCGATGACTCACCTGTGCTGCAGCCACAATGGCCAGCTCTGCAGGGTCCAAATTTCCGCTTCTCAGCTTTTCCTGCAGCAACTGGGGATGGAAGGGGGCAATTCACGACCCAGGTCGAAGGCCCTGCCTCTACAAGGGTCACACCTGCTGGCCTCACTCCTCCCTCAGCCTGCCTTCCTCTCTCCTGCAAACCCTGCAAACCTTGTCCCTCTAGTGGGTGCTTCGTCCTCACCTGCATCTCCACCCCACTGATGATGTCTCTTGGGTCCAGCACATTCCCCAGGGACTTGCTCATCTTCCGGCCCTGCCTGTCCCGAACCATGGGATGAAGAAGCACCTGGGGGCAGGGAGGGGTCAGCAGAGGGGGGTTTCCTTGGAGGTGCCTTGGGATCTCTGGCCTCCATACTTTTGGGGGTAGGGTAGGAAGTGAATTAGGAAAAAGGAATCAGCAACGTGGAAAGGACCACATTAGGGGTTAGAAGGGAGGACAAGGTTTGGGGAACACTGGGGTCACAGAAAGCGGCAGGGCACTGAAGGGCTCTTACCTTGCTGAAGGGCAGCTGCCCTGTGAGCTGGGTCCCCAACATGACCATGCGGCCCACCCAGAACAGCAGAAGGTCGCTGCCCGTTTCCAAAAGTGACAGGGGGTAGAAACGAGCAAGGTCTGGGGTCTAGGGGGAAGAGGAGCAGTAAGAGGCCCAGGCCCCAGGCCCCCCTCAAGCCTCTGTGGGGGCCCAGCCATCCCTTCCTTATCGTTTCCCCTTCACTTTCGCCCTCTCAACCCACCTCACCTCTTGGGGCCAGCCCAGGGCAGAAAAGGGGAACAGGGCAGAAGAAAACCATGTGTCTAGGACATCAGGATCTGGGAAACAGAAAAAGAATGGGGACAGTTGGAACCTTGGCTTCTAGGACCTCAGACCACTGCTGCCACCATTCTAGGCCAACCCCCACCCCCAGAGACCAGGGCTGTCCCCTTTGGCTCCATTCCCAACTTTCCTGACCCTACCTTCTGTATCTTGGGATCTGTTCCCCTCAAAGGCCCAGATGCCCAGGCCCCCGCTCCCCTGTACATCCCTCCCCAGCTCAGGCACTCACCCCTCTCCAGGGTCAGCTCTGCCCCTGGCCTCCCTGTCAGTTCCGCTGCTACCTCTCTGGCCTCAGCCTCTGACCGCCCAACCACCCAACAGTCCTCTTCTCCCTGCAAAAGTAGGAAGGGGTTGGGGAGAGTGAGGAAGAACAGCTGACAGGTGTAAATGTCACTTGGTTTTCACGTCCTCATGTGGTCTTAGAGTGGCCAGGTTCCTCCAGGGGTGAGATAAAGAAATGCCACTTCAGGGAGCCTTGATCGCGCAGAAGGTTACATGACTATGAGCATGAAGCACATGACCAGGCAGGAGCGGGACTTGGCCCTGCGGAGCTCTGACTCCTGGGCTAGGTGCTCTGCGCCACACTCGGCCCTCCGGGTGCTTCTTCCTACCCACCTGCGCATGGTCCTCTACAACCAGGTAGGCTGGAATCTGATGGCCCCACCACAGCTGCCGGGAGACACACCAGTCCCTGCCGGGAGGACATTCGTGAAGTCTTAGAATAACCAGTCAGTCCCCCCTCCCCATCTCCACAAGAGCTCCCCTTACCCTACCCTTACCCAATATGGGAAAACCAGTGCTGCCAGTTCTTCTGGTGGAAGGAGGGACTGAGCTCCAGGGCCCCCGACTCCACAGCCTGGAGAGAAAGGGGACTTTAGACAATGTTGCCCTTCCTGCACGGCCGCACCTCCACAGATAGGACGAGTGGCCTCTGAGGTCATTTTAAAACTCAGAAAGGACCTCCCAAGCCTCTTGCCAAGATTCTGGGCTTGAGTAAGGATATGAGCCAGCCCTTGCTGGGCCGCCCAGCCTCCATCCCACACATCCTCTCAGTTACCACAGCTGGAGAGGTCTTCAGGGCAGGAGGTCTCCTGCTTCCCATTTCTTCATTCCAATTCTCAGGGAGCTCCCCCAACCCCTGGCCCCAGTCCTTCCTACACTGCAGCCTCACCTTGGCAGCTCGGGCCCCCATTTCCTGGCAGCGGACAAACCACTGGTTCTTCAGCAGGTATTCTATCACATCCCCAGAACGGCTGAAAGAGAGACAGGGTGAGTCCACTGCTCTTCCGGCCCTGTGACTTCTCCCAGGGGCACAAGACCCCATGCCATGCCAGGCCCTTGGTACTGAGGATACAATAGCGAATAAAACCGACACGGAGCTCGTATTCTAACGGAGGGGTGCAGAGCCCATCCTATTGTCACCCTTAAGCTCCATACATTCCCTTTTGGGGTAGCCCTTAGTAAAGGAGTTAAAATGAGGTTACCTGCAGATGGGCAGTACCATGGGGTGGTTCTGGAGGCCCCGGAATAGGCCCCGTTCACTCAGCACAGACATTATCTTTTCCCGGGCCACAAACCGGTGAAGACCCTGGAGAAAAAGCGGCAAGAGTAAAGACTGAAGGCCTCTAGAGAAATAAGAAACTAGGAGGAGGATTAGGGGGACAGAGAGCCCCCAAAGGATGGGGTAACATAGGGTGGTACCACCTGCAACCAGTCCCCGCAGAGGGAGGTCATGGTCCCATCCTCCGCAATGACATTCAAGGGGCTCAAGCCATGTCGGGCCCCCATCTCAGCATCGGCAGGACTGTGAGCTGGAGTCACCTTCACTGCCCCTTGGGGAGCACAGCCATGGTGAGTACTGAACCTGACCTTGGCTTTTGCTTTTCCAGATGTATCATCATCACCTGCACCGCCCCATCACCTGCACCGCCCCAGCCCCTGCGACTTTCTCTGTCTGTGCCTCCCTCCCATTCCCCACTCAGACCACCCTATATGAGGATCTCCCACTCCCACCTTCCTCTTCCTCCTGGTTCCCTCCCCTCTCCTCCAGGACCCCCAACTTTCTCTCCCTCCCCTGACTTCCACTCACCCGTGCCCACATGTGGCTGAACAGCATAGTCTGTGATGAGGGGAAGAGGCTGCCCCATCAAGGGGTGACGAAGCTGTCGCCCGTGTAGATGCTGAAGGGAAGGGAGAGGGATCAAGGACAGGCACCTGTGAGGGTTGGAAGGGTCTGGGCTGGGGCGTGAGAACCCCAGGAATAAGAAGGTAGAAAGTGGAAGGTAGCAAGCTAGAGCAAGGTCAGCAAACTCTTAAGGGGCCAGAATGTAGATATTTTAGGCTTTTGGGCCTAGAGACAAATTCATTCTCGGCACAATTACTCTATTATGCCACTGCAGCAGAACTGGAGAGGGTATATAATAGCAGCCATAGATAATATAAAGGCTGCAAGCAGCCAGGCGCGGCGGCTCACGCCTGTAATCCCAGCACTTTGGGAGGCCGAGGTGAGCAGATCACGAGGTCAGGAGATCGAGACTATCCTGGCTAACACAGTGACACTCCGTCTCTACTAAATAACATTACTTAAAAATTACATTACTTAAAAAAAATTAATTACTAATTTTTGTAAAAATACAAAAAATTAGCTGGGTGTGGTGGCACGTGCCGGGCATGGTGCCACGCTCCCAGCTACTCAGGAGGCTGAGGCAGGAGAATTGCTTGAACCCAGGAGGTGGAGGTTGCAGTGAGCCAAGATCACACCACTGCCCTCCAGCCTTGGTGACAGAGCGAGACTCTGTCTCAAAAAAAAAGGCCGCAAGCTGGATTAGGACCATGGGCCAGTTTGTCAACCCCTGAGCTACAGAAAAACTATAAGAGGAGGAGGGAGTCCAATCAGAACCACTGAGAGAAGTCTCAGGAAAAGGAAGTAGAAGCAAGAGAGAAAGAGCCACCATTTAAAACCCAAGAGAAGAGAAGGCCATTGGCGGGGCGGGCCAGAGTGCAGGAGCGCACTGGGTATTACTGTGTATCGCGAGTCGTCTGGATGAACGGCCACAGCCACATCTCCAGGCAGCGTCTCTGGCCTTGTGGTTCCTACCACAACCTCTGCATCTGAAGATAAACATTTAAACACTTACAGCTGGTCATCATCCTCACCTCTCACTGCCAACATAGCTAAAGGCAGTAGAACTGGAAAGGGGAAGGGGCAGGGAGTAGTCAAGGTGGAAGAGGCCCCCAGGAGTGACTAGAAAAAAGTAGGAGCAGTGTTTATAGGAACCCAGGGTTTCCCATAAGCTGATGACCAGAGGTCTGAGAGGGTCTCTGGTGCTAAAGAATTCCCTGATAATTTGCATGGAAGAAATGGCGGCAGCATTAATTAAAGCAACTATAATAGAATTCTTGCTGGGTGCCCAGAGGACACTGGGGATTCTCAGTGTCCTAATCACAAATGCTGTACATTCCTCAGGGGGAGCACCAGCTCCTACAAGAAGCTTCCACTGACAATTCCAGCTCATCTGTCTTCCCTTTCTCTGAGCTCTTCAGAACATTTACCGTAAAAACCACACCTTAGAGGCCAGGTGCAGTGGCTCACGCCCGTAATCCCAGCACTTTGGGAGGCCAAGGCGGGCAGATCATGAGGTCAGGAGTTCGAGACCAACCTGACCAACATGGTGAAACCCCGTCTCTACTAAAAATACACAAATTAGCCAGGCCTGGTGGCACGCGCCTGTAATCCCAGCTACTCAGGAGGCTGAGACAGGAGAATCGCTTGAACCTGGGAAGCAGAGGTTGCAGGAGCCGAGATCGTGCCATTGCACTGCAGCCTGGGTGACAGAGTGAGACTCTGTCTCAAAACAAACAAACAAACAAAACAAAACATACCTTAGAATTGATCTCTTTCCTGGGTAGCGCACTCCTGAAGAATCACACCACACTCTCAAAGGGCAGTGACCACATGCACTTTTTGTACATCCCCCAGAAGACCCTGGGTAAGTGCCCACGCTGAGGTGAACACTACCAAGGTTCATGTGAGAGATGGACTGATGGGTTCCTAGCAGCCCAACATGGGCTCCAGAAAACAGGAAAAATGGAGGTAAACGGGTGACCCTGCAGAGTACTATGCTCACCAGGCTCTCCATCCACGGGGAAGGCAACAGAAAATAGGAGGCCAAAAGACACGGGGGTGGGGCAGCCAGGCAGTCGAAGCTGTGTGTGGCCAGGCAGGGGCCGGTTCTCCACCTGGAGGCACCGAGAAAGCTGGGTCAGAGGGCAGCCTTTCTGCAAGGCTCATGCCCAGGCTTCACTCTGCCACTCATCCATCTGCCCAGCCTCCCTGCAATCCATCTAAAAGCCATTTGGAGGATTCGGGAGCTACCTCCCTCTGCCCTCACCCAATGCTCGTGCAGTCACACTTCTAATAAATATTCACTGAGCACTTAAGCCATGGCCAGGTATCTTGCCAAGCACCTATGTGAATTCTCATTTAATTTTTACAACACCCCCACGATGCAAGCATTCCATCATCTCTAATTTACAGACTGAGGAAGCTGAGGCTTAAAGAGACTAAACGGCCTGCCAAAAGCCACACAGCTGTAACAGGCAGGCATCAGATTTGAATCCAGGCACCCTGGCTCCAGAGTCTGAGCTCTTAATCATTGACCACTCTGCCTCAGAGCTCTCACAAACCTGCTTCCCTCTCTCCGCCTCACCTCAATGTCCGAGATGGCTGATCTTAAAGCACATGACCAGTTGACAAGCTGATGGTTCCGGTACAGCAACCCCGCCTTGTAGAGCCGCACAAAAGCTTCAGTCACAGCCACTGAGGAGCCCTGGAATGACCTGAGTGTCCACCTCTAAGAGCCACTTCTCAGCCCATCACCCTGCTCAGGGACCCAGGCATTGCTGCCTCCCTGCCCCACACAGATCCCTAAACATCGCCCATCACTCACAGGGACCAAGGCACAGAACACTCACAACATCCATGGTAAAACACTCTCGATCCCAGTCCAGGGAGGCACCCAGAGCTCGCAGCTGCTCACAGATCTCTCCACCTTTCCTGTGCCCAGAGAGATCCTTGTCAGCAAACACTTCCCAAGCACTTCCTATGTACCAGGCCCAGCGATGCCCCCAGCAATGCCAGGTGTTGGAGGAAAATCAAGTGAGGATGGCATTGATCTAGCCTCTAGAGGCTAATAGAAATGGACTTACAAACCCAGTATGGGGTTTTCTAAGATATTAAAAGAGGCAAAAGATTCTATAGGAAGAGAGGAGGGACAGCCATATTGTGGGAAATCCAAGGATGCTTCACAGAGATGGCATGAGATAACAGACCCAGAAGAATGAGGGTAATTCCATGGGAATTGAAAGGTGGGAATGGGGAGTGGAAGAAGGTGAGATTTAGACAAGAGAAATTGGGGTAAGTAAAGAGAAAGAAAATATATATATATATATAAAAATATACACACACACACACACACACGAATATTCTAATGCATATATAATATCCACACACATAAGGCTTAGAAACTCCACCAAATGTTAACAGGCTCCAGAGCTTCCATCTCTGAGGAAGTCAGAGCTGTGTCGGGAAGAGCCAAGGATTACAAGTCAGGAGTGATAGTGGTGGGAGGCAAGAAACCAAATCTGCCATCTGGGCCCCCCGAGTCCTGCCCATCATACTCACGCCTCCTTCCACTGCCACACCTCCCTAAGGAAGGCCTCCCGGCTCAGCTCATGTCTCCTCACTCCCCGTTCCTTCCACAGTTGTTTCTCCACCACAGCCTGCAGTTAGATTCAGGGCAAATGAACAGAGTCAGGTTGCTTTGGGGGAAGAAATTGCTTTTGCCCAAGAAAAGGAACAGGTAACAAAAGACATACTTGTGTAGCAATTCCTGCATGATCTGAACCAGGGACCCACAGCACTTGATCCCCACGCATCCGGTGCCTGCAACAAAAATGCCCTCCTGTGAGCCCCTGAGCTTAAATGTTTATCCTCACTCATTCCTGCCCTTCCTATTTCCCTTCCAAGAACTCAAGCAGCCCCCACTCCCCTCTCACCAGCGCACGAGGGCATCCTGTATGGCCACCGTGAGTGCGTGGCCAATGTGCAGGGAGCCAGTGACATTGGGAGGTGGGATACACATGGAAAAGGTCTCCCCTGTAGCTTGGGGCAGCCGGGCCTAGAGGAAGAAAAAAAGTCAAAGGGGCAAGAGAGAATTGGATTGGGGAAAGAGCACCCTCTACTGTCTCCAGAACAGAAAGAACTTCAAGGAAGAACTGTCCTGCAAATAAGAGGAGAGTGGAGAGGAGGGAATTGGCCAGGGGGAACCTGCCAAGAGAAATCTTTGGAGACACCAGAGCCAGAAAGAAGACAAGGTCTACAATGTGAGCTCAACTCTGAGGTCCAGTTGTATTCAAGGGCCACTCTGTCCTGGAGACAATTTAGGACCCCTCCCTGCCAGATACTAACCTGATATTCTGGTTTGAAGAAGCCCTCTCGTACCCACCACGGGTACCAGGCAGCCTCAACATATCGGGGGCTGTATGCAGGAGGCAGGGGCCCAGAGACATCTGTGAAGGCAGAGGAGAGCTCCACTAACCACTGAACTTGTTCCCAGGCTGCATTTCGGCAGGCCAAATGGGCAACACATATGTGAAAGAAAAGGCCTTCTTACTTATTCTACTTACCTTTCTTTTCACCGGGTTTCGTAGGGATTTCATACAATACTAACTCCTTAGGCCTCCAGGCCTTAATGGATTCTGCAGGTGACTGAGAAGAGAAAGCAGAAGAGGCTGGGATCCAGTATACCCCAGACTGCATTTCAGCCGGTCTCCTCCAGCCCCTCCCAAGTCTCAGAAACCCAAGGACAAGCTGTCTGACCCCTAACCTTGCTCTCCCCTGCTATCTCAGCCTCCAGAGTAGCCTGCTTCTCTCGCAGGCGCTTCTGTTTGGCTTCACGGTTCCTCCGGGAGATGGGAGATCCATGGGGCTCCGACTGTGTAGAAACGGAGTGAAACCTGGGGAGGCCCCGTGAGTGCCTCAGCCCCCAAAATGGTGGTCGAAAAGAAGCGAGAGGCAAATGAGGCATCAGGAGTGTTTGGAAAGGGGCCGAGATCTGTTCTGGATAGAGAGAGAGCACATTAGGATATGGGGGTGGAGAAGGGTCACTCCCCTTGTTCCATCTTTCCCGTCTCTAATTAGCACAGGTCTGTTATTCCAAGTCTCTATTCCCTTCCACAAAACCTTTCCTCCTTGAGAGCTAGAGTGCATGGTATCGACAGACAGCGCCATGGAGCCACGGATATCAGGGCTCTTCCGGAACAGGGCCGGAGTGTCTGGATTCGGCGGTGACCACTGACACATGAGAGATAGGGCTCAGAAACTCAGGGAGATGATGGGCATCAGCGCGCCCAAGAGCCAGCAAAGAGTCCCGCCAGGGCCGCGGCGATCTCCACCTGCACAGGGGCCTCCTGCAGTGCCCACAGCCCGGCGCGGCCAGGCCTTCCCGCCCATCCCAAGGCCTGGGCCCAGGACCCGCAGCGTCTCCCACTTCCCGGAGGCCGCCCCGGCGCGCGCTCACCAGGAGGCCCCGCCGCTATCCCAGGGCGCCCCGCGGCGGCAGGGACTGAGGAATCCACCAAACCCGACCCTGGAACGTGGCCCTGGAGCCGCGCGGCGCATGGGGGCGGGGCCCCGGCCGGCGCATGCGCAGCAGCTGGCTTTGGCCCCACCCTCTCCCTACCGGTCCAAAGGCTGTAGACCAGAGGAGCGAGTCCGCCGCGAAGGCAAACCCCACGGGGAGGCGCCCGGGACCGCACTGCTAGCTATCATAACTTTATTAAACAAGAAAAGCCCTGACGCGTAAATAAAAAACACCTGAGTTCTGATGCCCCGCCCCGCCCAGTCCCGCCCGCCGAGGTCCGTGTCCAAGTCCCGCGCTCTCAGGAGCTATGTTTCTGCCGCTTCCAAAAGCGCTTGACGTCGCTGTGCCCGGCCGGGGTCACCACCATGAGCCGCTTGGCCGAGTTCTCGAACACGAGCACGCCCAGCTCCCGCGCGTGGGCCAGCAGCAGCTCAAAGTCCACTTGCGACAGGAACTGGTTATACAGGACACCTGGGGTCGGCAGGACGGGAGGGGCGCGGGGAGAAGACGAGAAAGTGAAGCTCGGAGCTCCTATTGGGAATCCCCCCAGCTCCTTGGTGGCAGCCCTGGACGCGGTCTGGGCTTGCCCCCACCGCAATTTTACAAACTAATTCTCTATGCTTGTCTGCTCAGGGGTTCATCTTAACACCAGTGTGATCCAGCCATATTCAGAAAGGCCTAATACAAATTACTGTGAATTATTCCCTCACCTAGCCAAATCCAAAGTGCATTGATTTGGGACGATTTGTTTACTACCGACTCACCCCAAAACAACAAAAAACTGTCTTGCCAGCTTTTCTCTCCTAGTCCATGAAGTAAAAAATAAAATGCAGACTGAACTGTCTGCCCTTTCTCTGGCCAATGACCAAGACTTGGCCACCAGAAGCTACTCACCCTCAGTGAACCGGAGTCTGTCCCTTTCCAGCTCCCAGAGCCGGATCTGGTCGGTGATGGTGGGGGGCAGCACAGGTGTCTGCAAGGAGCAAGGGTTGACTGTAGGGACTCAGAATACTGCCCCAGACAACCCGGCCCTCTGTTTCTTCCCCAGATTTGGATGCCCCTTTTTCTTTTCCATCATGTCATCACCAGCTGCCAGCCTCTGACATCTTGGAGCCTGTCTATACCTGTTTGAGCATCACTGGGTGGGCTCTTGTCCTTAGGAAATGGATTATCTAGGAAAACAGACAAGAATGGCATGAGGGCTCCAGCAAGAAGGCAGGAAAGCCATCTGAGCTGTCACCTAATGTCACTGGAACATCAGCTTATTCTAAAAACTCATAACTCCTGTCATCAACTCCACCTATCCCAGTTCAGCTGTTATCCCACGTTGCTGCTCCCAGCAACGTGGGATATTCCTTTTCTGGCACATTCGCCCTTTCCAGTAATGTTTTGTTTTTCTTTCTTTAAAATAGCAGCAGCTACTATTTTCTTTTTTTAGCATTTATTGCATGACAGGTGCTGAGCTCAATGCTTTGCCCCTATTCTTCCAATGAATTATCCCGGCAACCCTGAGGTAAGAACTGTCATTTACTAGATGAGGAAACTGAGGCTCACAGAGGCAAAACAACTATGTCTAGTTTACGCAGTTAGGATGTGGCAGTGCCGAGGCACAAATCCAGATCTATACCTCCTCCCTCCATGTTTTTTTCCCCTCAAGGGTCTACCTATTCTCACACCCAAAGCCTTCATTTCTCTTCAAACACAGACAACTCACCACCACCTATTATAACAGACTCAGAGCTAGCCTTCCATAATGTGACCCCTGTCCCCCGCAGCCCAAGTGCAGCCTGTCTTCCTGCTCCACCTCTCCCAAGTGGGAATACCTGCTGGGCTGTGATGCCACTGGCGATTGCCTGCTGCACACTCTCCCGGGTCACCTGCGCCACCACCATGTTGGGGAACCGATAGAGCATCTCAGAGAAGAGGGCAATGAGGGCAATCTGCAGCTCCGACTCTGAGCCAGGGATAGAAAGAGGATGAGGAGGCCACCCCCACACCCAGACTCCCTCAAGCCCTTCTTTCAAGTGTCATGAGAAATGTCAGAGAGCTCTGTAGACTGCCAGGTAAACACGAACATAAACTGGCATTCCCTCACCCCCAACCTCCTCTTCCAGGGGCCCTCTGTCCCGCCTCACCCGTGTAGGCATACAGTCGGTAATTGGTTTCCACGACAATGAAACCTGGCTGATGCACAGTGCCCCCAGCTCCAGAGACACCTGATGAGAGATTGATGGCCAGGCGTGTGGGGTAGTAACGCCGAGATTTCCTCTGAAAAGAATAGAAAGGCAGATGCCTTGTCTCAGAAGTCACTGCCTTACATCTTCCTGCCTGAAATATCAGATCCCTCCCAAGATGCAGAACCTCAACCCCCAACTTCTCTCCCCCGAGAGACCCAAGTATTCAGTTCTGGCAACTGCTTCCTGCTACTGCCCCAAGACCCCACTCCTTTTTAAAGGCAAAGGCAACACACCACCCTGTTTCTTCCCTGGAAGCCACTTATCTAGGCGCTCATACCTTCCTCTGGAAAACAAGCCCAAACTCACGCAGATGTTGCAGGAAGTTCAACAGAGAATCACTCATACCTTCCACAGAGTAATCCTGAGGAACAGAGGTTTCCAGCTGGGGTCCAAAACACAACCCACCCACCCCCAACCCCATACATTCATTCTTTCTTTCTCCATCTCTGTTCGTTCTGTTTTCATTCTTATCTTCTCAGTCTACTCTACTGCCCCACAACTTGCTTTCCCCTTCCCATCTCTATACCTTTCAGCCCCCTGCTTACCTTGCCCAGAGTAGAGAAGCTGAGCTGGAAGAGGAAGGAGAGAATCTCTACCAGGTCCATGCCCCGGCTCTAGGGAGAAAGAGGCAGAGACAAAGGAGGAGGGATGGGAGGGAGACAATGGGAAGAAAGGGACAGAGAAGAGAAAATCAGGGAACAGTCTGTAGGCAGGAGTCTCTCAGTGAGACCTGAGAGGAGCAGAGCATGCTGGTTAAGTGGCCCTGCCTCCTCACCTGGGCTGTCTGCAAATACTGCAACATAAAGTACCAGAGCTGAGCCGGGGTGTCCAGCAACAGGAACTGGAAGCCAGCGGAAGTAATGCAGGGCGGCTCTCCAGGTTCAGTACTAGAGACAAAGACCAGGACAATGATGGTGATATGCAGAGAAAGACTACTATCCCCACTTGTCCACTCACGTTTTTTTTTGGTATCTCTGGCTATATTCTACTCAGCTTGCCTTTTCCAGCTAATGTCCTCTGATCTTGACTAGCCCCAGATACCATTTCTTAGGGACCCAAGGAGATGGCACAGCAGAGAGCTGCTGTACCTCCGGCTTCCTCACCTCTTCATGAGCCCAGCCTGGCTGAGGAGCTGAGCCAAGTCCTGGCTGACAGCTGCACTGGGGGAGCCCACCATGAAGTGCAAGACCACCTGAAGAACAGAAGAGAACAGGGAGACCATGCCCCAAGGGCCATGGGAAGTAGAAGCACAAGCAGAGACACACACACTCCCAAGTGCTTACCTCCCATCGCTCCTCGGCGTACTTGTCAAGGGAGGGAACGTCCCGGGCATGCTTGTCTGGTCCCAGCTGACTTGTGTCATCAGACCAGGCCTTCCCCCTACGGCCAGGATGGGCCAAGAGTAAGGAACCCTGGCCAGGCGCAGTGGCTCACACCTGTAATCCCTGTACTTTGGGAGGCCGAGATGGGCGGATCACTTGAGGTCAGGAGTTCAAGACCAGCCTGGCCAACATGGCGAAACCCCATCTCTACTAAAAATACAAAAAATTAGCCTGGCGTCGTGGTGGGTGCCTGTAATCCCAGCTACTCAGGAGGCTGAGGCAGGAGAATCACTTGAACCCAGGAGGTAGAGGCTGCCGTGAGTCAAGATTACACCACTGCACTCTGGCCTTGGTGACAGAGTGAGACTCTGTCTCAAAAACAAACAAAACAGAACAACAAAAAAAGAGTAAGGAACCCTGTCTGTGTTCCTTGCTGCCCTCTGCCATCTTTCCACCCTTATCCTCAGGGGCCATGAGTGGGGGACATTTCCTACACCACACACTACATCTGGTCCAACTTACTCCTAAAGGAGTTCCCAACGTGGAGACCACAAGGTTCTGGGGAGGCCCCCAGGAGCTCCCCCTCCCAAAGTTTAATTAGTGGTTTAATAAGCAGCAGTTCCCCTGCCCTAGCTTAGGAAGAGAGAGAAGTGACATACCCACCCAGAAGGGCAATGCGGAGGTTCTGGCGGAAAATGGGGTTGAGGATGAGGCCCTGGAGCCCGCCTGGGAGCAGCTGTGTGTGCCAGATCCGGAGGCCGCTCAGCAGCCCTGTACTTTCCTCCTGAGCCCTGGAACAGAAGCAGAGAGGTGAGTAGGGTATTTGGAAAACAAAAAGGAGGCCCATAAAAGCCACCATCTCTGCCTGTTCTGAACTTGCTGACCCTTGGAACACTGTTCCACAGAGTGAAATTAGTATCTTCCTAAGACAAATTCTTTACTGCATTACTTATCAGAGCCTCATTACAGATATCACACATAACTCTTTAAGAGGGAAGATACATTTGAAAGCAAGATCTCAGCTGGGAAATAAATAAAAGGGAAAAGGCAATATGCAGAGTTTCCCAAATGTATTTATTTTTAAGTTTTGTGATATATCTATTAACACTTCCTGGAAGTGCTCCAAGGAACAGCAGTTTGGGAAATGTAGCTGTTGAGAAATTTGTATCTGGCTGAGACTTACTTGCTGAATTCCTTCTTTACCCACAGAGCTACAGCAGCCTGTGGCAAAGGCTGCTCCAGAAAGAGCATCCGCATCACCCAGTTCTTAGCCAAGGATGGGAGCTCCCTGTACAGGAACAGAGGTCAAAGGTTAGTATCAGAAGCTGCATTGTATCTGCATCTCTGCCCTCAATTACCTCTCAAACATCTCATCTCACTCCAGCACAACTTTACCAGTCCTGCTGTTTTGGCCTCCACACTTTAGAGCAATTTCCAACCCTTGCCCCCAGTCCCCACCCCGACTCCAGGCTGCTACACTTTTACCTATGATATTTTATTCCACTCCGCAGACCCCATTACATTTCCCTGCCATGAAGGGGCTTCTCACCTGAAGACAGCCAGACATGTGGCAGGGTGCCCATACAATCGGTCCAATACCCCAGGGCTCAGGCCCCCTAAGAATTCCTGCAGATTCCTGCATTGTAGGTGTACTCGGTTCAGTCCCCTTGAAGGGGTGCTCTCCATCACCTGAGGAATGCAAACGTCAGAAGTGCAACCTCACCATCCATGCCAGTGTCACCCCTGACCTTTCTAACTGATTCCAGATCCATCAGTCCCCACAATAACCCCACCTTTTCTGTGGTCTCCTTTCCCATGTCACTCATCTCCTCTGGTTTCTCCCAAACCTGACCAATCTCCCTCCCTTTCTTGCCTCCTCACCCTATTTCTGCCCTTCAACTCCAGTCTTCCCTCAATTACCAAGTGACAGAATTGTTAACTGTCCAGTGTTTGCAAGATCATTTTGTATTTCAATGACTTGTCTCATCTTTGGCTAAACAGGGACAAAGAAAATTGAGCCCACACCTCTCTCTTCCATCCCATCCTGGTCAGACCAGTCTACAAGCTCCAAATCTGCCCGTCCTTCCTATCTTCTATCTCTTAGCCCACTTCTGCTAAGTACGGCGGTAACCTCTCCCCTCCATGCTTCCCAAATCTAAAGCCACCTCTTTTCCCTTCCCAAGTCTACTTCACGTCATTCACCCTGACCCACGCCTTCCGATCTCCTAGCTTCTCCCTGCCTTCCTCTCACTCTTCGCCTCCCACTCACCTCTCTCTCTCTCATACCTCTGCCACTCCCGCCCTCCTAGGTCCCCTCACCACTCTGTCGATCCTCCTCGCGCACCCCGAGTCTCGGGCCGTCGCTTAATCGGAGCCAAAGTCTCGCATTGGCTCCTGGAGATTGAGGGAAAGATGGTGAAAAAATGCGAGGAAAAGATGGGGAAAGCAAAGAAAGATTTCACAGGCAAGAGCCCAGAATGGAAAATTCAGAAGAGAAGGGAGGTAAGGGGAGGAGTGGAAAAGTGAAGAGGATGAGAATAGACGCTGCACTCTCCGGGCGCGGGGGATGCTGGGAATTGGAGTCTTGCCTTTGCTCTCCTCAGAGCCGGCTGAAGCGCGTCTGACTACAAATCCCGAAAGGCACCGTGGGGAAGCCGAAAGGAGAGGAGCTGGCTTTTAATTGAGCGAGGGGAGACACCAGAAGCTGGACCAGTTGGTTCCGCGAAGGCAGAACCAACTCCGCCCACGCTGCTAACGGCGCGTGTAACCGGCTGGAGCGGGAGGCGGGTCCGGGAAAGTAGAAGTGCCTGGAGGGCTTCCTTGCGGAGGCGCGCTCTGGCGACTTGGTGGTGAGCCGAGTGAGCACAATTACTCCCCATAAAATTGGGATAATACACACTCCAGGCCGGGCGCGGTGACTCACGCCTGTAATCCTAGCACTTTGGGAGGCCGAGGCGGCGAATCACCCGAGGTCAGGAGTTCGAGACCATCCTGGCCAACATGGTGAAACCCCCGTCTTTACTAAAAATACAAAAATTAGCCGGGCGTGGTGGTGGGCACCTGTAATCCCAGCTACTCTGGAGGCTGAGGCAGGTGAATCGCTTGAACCCTGGAGGCGGAGTTGCAGTGAGCCAGGACCATGCCATTACACGCCAGCCTGGGCGACAAGAGTGAAACTCCGTCTCAAAAAAAAAGAAAAGGAAAGAAAAGAAAGAAAGCGTACACACTCTGGGCGGTTTCCACGAGTTAACGATTAACACGATCCAGTGCACCTTACTTGACCCTAAGTACTCAGTAAATCTTAATTTCTGCCTCCACCACTCCTCAAACCGTTTACTTAGAAGACCCAGATAAATACAGTTTTTAAGACACCAACTATTTGCTCTGATTTGATTTATGAACCTACTACAAAAGTGGAGGTCTTCACCCAAACCCAGAACTACACGTTTCCCCAAATTCCTATATGCAAATTTTGTTATTCCCACCTTATAGACTGGAAGACTGGAGCCCGGCAAGATTAAGAAATTTGCCTGCAGCCTGGCGAGGTGGCTCAGAGCTGTGACCCCCAGCTACTTGGGAGGCTGAGGCAGGAGGATCGCTTGAGACTAGGAGTTTGAGGCTACAGTGAGCTATGATCGCACCAGCCTGGGTGACAGAGGGAGACCCCCATTTCTCTCTCTCTCTCTTTTTTTTTTTTTTTTTGAAACGGAGTCTCTCACTCTGTCACCCAGGCTGGAGTGCAGTTGCATGATCTCAGCTCACGGCAACCTCAGCCTCCCGGGTTCAAGCGATTCTCTTACCTCAGCCTCCCAAGTAGCTGGGACTACAGGTGTGTGCCACCACGCCCGGCTAATTCTGGTATTTTTAGTAGAGATAGGGTTTCAACATGTTGGCCAGGCTAGTCTCAAACTCCTGACCTCAGGTGACCCACCTGCCTCAGCTTCCCAAAGTGTTGGGATTACAGGCATGAGCCACTGAGCCCAACCTGAGATGCCCATCTCTAAAAAAAAAAAAATTAAAAAAAAAATCCCTACAATCAGACAGGAAGTGCCCAAGCTGGGATTTGAAGCACATTTGCAAGCAACCAGGGATCAAAATGGTAATGACTATGCAAGACTTTTTATACTTTGTAGCCCACCCATGTTTTCTGTTGTCCCTGTCTTTTTAGCAATTAATGTTTTAAAATCTTCAAAGAACAGCTAAAAATTGACAGAGCTTCTTTATGGCAAACTTTAGGTAAGGTTGAAAGACAATTTACAATCTAGGAAGAAATGGTTGATGAAATAAACAAAATACAAAAAGCTGTTACAAAGCAATAAGAAAAAGAAACATAATAGAAAGATTGGGACAGACCACTGCTTACTAGTTAGCCCTGCTCAGCAAGGAGCAGCTTAAAAAAAAAAAAAGAAGAAGAAAAGAAAAAGAAAAGAAAGAGGCCTGGCGGGGTGGCTCAGGCCTGTAATCCCAACACTTTGGGAGGCCAAAGAAGGTGGATCATTTTAGCTCAGGAGTTCCAGACCAGCCTGGGCATTATACAGAAACTCTATCGCTACAAAAACAAAACAAAACAAAAATTAGCTAGGTGTAGTGGTGTGCTCTCCTGCGGTCCCAGCTGCTCAAGAGGCTGAGGTAGAAGGATCACTTGGGCCCAGGAGATTGAGGCTGCAGTGAGCAATGATAGCACCACTGCACTCCAGCCTGAGCAACAGTGTGAGACCCTGTCCCAAAAGGAGAGGGGAAGAGAGGAGAGGACAGGGGAGAACTGGAGAGGGGAGAATTGGGGAGGGGAGAGGAAGGGAGGGTTAGGGAGGGGGAAAGAAGGAAAGAGAAAGAAAGATTGGCCAAAGCAAAAAGAAAGTTAAACAGAATATCAGAAATGTTTCAAAAATCAAAAAATTGGCTGGGCACGGTGGCTCACGCCTGTAATCCCGACACTTTGGGAGGCCGAGGTGGGTGGATCACCCGAGATCAGGAGTTCGAGACCAGCCTGGCCAACATGGTGAAACCCGTCTCTCCTAAAAATACAAAAATTAGCCGGGCGTGGTGGCAGGCGCCTATAAGCCCAGCTACTCGGGAGGCTGAGGCAGGAGAATCGCTTGAACCCGGGAGGTGGAGTTTGTAGTGAGCTGAGATCGTACCATTGCACTCCAGCCTGGGGGACAAGAGCGAGACTTTGTCTCAAAAAAAAAAAAAAAAAATTCAAAAAATTAGCCAGGCCTGGTTCTGTGGTCCCAGCTACTCAGGAGGCTGAGGCAGGAGGATTGTTTGGACCCAGGAGGTCAAGGCTACACTGAGCTGTGATCATGCCACTGCACTCCAGCCTGAGCTATACAGTGAGACCCTGTCTCAAAAAAAAAAAAAAAAAAAAAGAAAAGAAAAGAAAAGAGAAAAAGAAATTAGCTCGGTATGCACACACCTGAAGTCCTAGCTACTCAGGAGGCTGAGGTAGGAAGATTGGTTGAGTCCAGCAGTTCAAGGCTGTAGTGAGCTACAGTTACACCACTGCACTCCAGCCTGGCCGCAGAATTAGACTGTCTCTTAAAAATAAATATATAGGCCAGGCGCCATGGCTCACACCTGTAATGCCAGCACTTTGGGAGGTCAAGGTGGGTGGATCACCTGAGGTCAGGAGTTCCAGACTAGCCTGGTCAACATTTTAGTAGAAACCTTGTCTCTACTAAAAACACAAAAATTAGCTGGCATGGTGACGGGCGCCTGTAATCCCAGCTACTTGGGAGGCTGAGGCAGGAGAATCACTTGAACCCGGGAGGCAGAGGTTGCAGTGAGCTGAGACCACACCATTGCACTCCAGCCTGGGCAAGAGTGAAACTCCATCTCAAAATAAATAAATAAATAAAAATAAAAATAAATAAATCGGCCGGAGGCAGTGGCTCACACCTATAATCTCAACACTTTGGGAGGCTGAGGCGGGTGGATCACTTGAGGTCAGAAGTTCGAGACTAGCCTGAGCGGGTGAAACCCCGTCTCTACTGAAAATACAAAAATTAGCCAGACATGGTGGCGGGCGCCTGTAATCCCAGCTACTTGGGAGGCTGAGGCAGGAGAATCACTTGAACCCAGTAGGCTGAGGTTGCAGTAAGCCGAGATCACACCACTGCACTCCAGCCTGGGCAACAGAGCAAGACTCTATCTCAAAATAAATACATAAATAAAATTAAAATATAAAAGTTCAGCAAAAAAGAAATTAAGGATTGACAACCTCAATGTTGACCAGGGTATAGGAGCATACTCATACACTTTTGCTGAAAATTGAGGCCGGGTCCAGTAGCTCACGCCTGTAATCTCAGCACTTTGAAGGGAGGCCAAGCCAGGCAGATCACTTGAGCCCCGAAGTTTGAGACCAGCCTGGGCAACATGGTGAAACCCTGTCTCTACAAAAAATAAAAAAATTAGCTGGGCATGAGGGTGCATGCCTGTAGGCCCAGCTACTTGAGAGGCTGAGGCAGGAGGGTTGTTTGAGCCCTGGAGGTGGAGGTTGCAGTGAGCTGAGATCACACCATTGCACTCCAGACTGGGCAACAAAATGAGAGTCTGTCTCAAATTAAAAAAAAAAAAAAAAAAAAAAAAAAAAAAAAAAATTGAAATAGGCACACCTCTTTTGGAGGGGGTGAGGGGACAGAGTCTTACAGTGTCACCCAGGTCAAATGCAGTGGCACAATCTTGGCTCACTGCAATCTCTGTCTCCCAGATTCAAGCGATTCTTGTGCCTCAGCCTTCCGAGTAGTTGGGATTACAGGCGTGAACCACCATGCCTGGCTAATTTTTTTTTGTATTTTTAGTACAGACAGGGTTTCACCGTGTTGGCCAGCATGTTAGTGGGCATGGTAGTTCAAAAAAGAAAATTCCTGTGATAGGGAGCTCATGACCTCCTCCTCTCAGGCAGCATCCTGGAGAGAAAGAACAGAGAGCCAGGGCCAGGCGTGGTGGCTCACACCTGTAATCCCAGCACTTTGGGAGACCGAGGAGGGTGGATCAAGACATCAGGAGTTCAAGACCAGCCTGGCCAACATGGTGAAACCCAGTCTCTACTAAAAATACAAAAATTAGCCGGGCATGGTGGCAGGTGCCTGTAATCCCAGCTACTCAGGAGGCTGAGGCAGGAGAATCGCTTCAACCCAGAAGGCGGAGGTTGCAGTGAGCGGAGATAGTGCCACTGAACTCCAGCCTGGGTGACAGAGCAAGACTTTGTCTCAAAAAAAAAAAAAAAAAAAAAAAGGAACAGAGAGCCAGGAGCCCACAGACCCACTTCCCACAGGCTTTACTGTTGACTGACTGCTACTTTGGGCAAGCTGCTTAACCTAACAGAATTTTCTTCTCTGTGCAAAGTAATTTTAACTACTTCATATATTGTTGTATTAAGTAAGATATAATATGTCGTAATTTCAATACCTGGTATATAGTGGGTGCTCAGTAATATATTATCATCATTATTGTAACTTTCACTTATTAATCCTAGTTCTAGTTCTGTAACTACATAGAATCTATGTTAGTCTATCAGATATTTGCTACAATTCTTTCTTTCAACCAATATTGAGCCCTGTGTTCCAAGATTTTGCCCTTGTGCAACTTATAGTTTGGTGGGAGGGGCAGGTATAAAAAGATATGTAAAATTACACACGTAGTAAGTGCCACAAAGAAGAGATTCATGTCCTCTGAGATTATCAGTAGGGAATTTGACCTGGTTGGGGAAGTCAGGAAAGACTGCTGAAGGACAAGCAGGAGTTAATAAGGCACAGACTGCAGGGAACATTGTTCCAGGTGAGGGAACAGCATGCCACGAAGGCCACGTGGCAGGAAGTACTGTGGCCCATTGGGTGAATCTGAAAGAAGGCCAGTGGCCCACAGAGGAAAGCAAGCGGGTGGGGGAGGACGCTGGAGAGGTATGTGGGGGCCAACCTTGGCCAGAAGGATTTTGTTCTTCATTTTAAGATTAATGAAAAGTCACTGCTGGATTTGAAATGAAGGATTAGGGTCAGATTTGTGTGTTTTAAAGATAACTGTGGTTGCAGGGTGGAAAACAACCCAGAGAGGAGCAGAGGCAGATCTGGGTGACAGCTGGGAGACCACTGCAGGAGTCCAGGCAAGATGGAGGCAGCATGTGCCAGGAGGGCGATGGAGACAGAGATGACAAGTTCCAGGGAGATTTGGGAGGCAAAATCAACAGCGTTTTGTGCTGGACTGGACTTGAGAGGTGGAAGGTAAGGGAGAAGGAGCTCGGGGATGCCACCTTGTGCGGCTTGTGCAGCTAAGTGGATGATGCTGCCATTCACTGAGTCAGTAGACTGTGGAGGAGAAGCAGGTTTGGACAAGCAGGGCCTGACTTTTAAATTAACTGCAGGTGGGGCTGGGCACGGTGGCTCACGCCTGTAATCCCAGCACCTTGGGAGGCCAAGGTGGGCGGATCACGAGGTCAGGAGTTTGAGACCAGCCTGGCC
>NT_167247.2:2183573-2236239 GCF_000001405.40 Homo sapiens | reverse complement strand
GGCCAGACCCGCAGCTCCTGACTCTTCCTAAAGTCATCCAGCCCCACCACACCATCTGCCAGCTGGCCCAGACCCCCATACTGCAGTCTGGAGAAGAGGGGACCAAGGAAGAGGAGGTTGGAAGGGAAGAGGGTCTTGACATCCAGGCATTCTGCTCCGCCACCCTCCGGCACAGTGGCATGGCCAGCCTGGCTCCCATCCACTAGTCCCATTCCCATCCCACCTCACACTCATGCAGCTGGCCCTTCTCCTCTCTCCACCCCACCCCAGCACTACAGGTACCTTGCAGGTCACATCCAGCACAAAGGCACCACCTCTAAGGGGCACCATTTCAATCTATGATGTGTATATTTATTGCAGCAATTTCCAACAATGTGTGTTAGCAAAGGGGTGCCTTTTTCATACAGTGTCATACGGGCTAGTGGTCACCCTAGTGCTACCCTTTGAGGCCCCACCTAACCCATCCCTCTTCTCAGCTCTTCCATCTCACTCCCCACCCTACTTACCAGCCCCCCTACACACACACACTCACACACACACACACACACACACACACACACACAGTCCTCCCTCCCACCCCAAACTCCATATCCTGCAGGGGCCTTTCTTACCCGCCCACGGTATGTCCGTCATAGGTGGAGTCGTTGAGGTACACGGCCTCAGATAAATACATTGTCTGCCCCACAGGGGCGGTGTAAGACAGGAGTCCATCTGGGGCAGGGTGAGAGGATGGGGGTCAGAGGCACTAAGGCTCCATCCCCCATCCCTGCATCAGGCCTGGGCAGGTTTCAGGTCCCTTCTTGTATCTCTCCACTGGCTCATTGGCATGGAGGAGACAATGCTGGCTAGCCCCCTCCTCAGAGTGACAGCTTCCCAGCAGGAGAAGGGATCCTGGATGCCCATTCTCCACACTCCCCACCCTCCAGTCCCCTGCTCAGGAAACAGATTCCCAGGAAGCTGAGCCACTCACCCCTCCAGAGGCAGCCATAGAGCTCTACCCGCAGACAGACGCTCATGACCCGGTCAGCCCGGGGGTAGAAGCGAACCAGTCGGGCAACCATGGGGGGCCCAAGGTCCTTCAGCACCACTCCCTCAGGGTCCTCATTGCCTGAGATCACCTGTGGGCCAGGAAACAGGGGGTGGGTGGGATGGAGTCCAGGTCAGATCTTACTTCCCACCCACCAGCTGCTCCCTGGCCCAGCCCACAGTGGCCACTTAGAGACCCATGAGGGGTGGCACCGAGCACACAGCACTGTGGGGCGCAGCCAGGCATGGGTGAAATGAAGATCTGCAGCTGAGACCTCTGGCTCTGTCGCAGCTCTGATGTTCCATCCTCAGACTTCAGGCTCAGCTGCCCTCTTCTCCTTGCCTGGCTCCATCCATTTGTCTCCAAGCCTATCATCCCATTGTGCCCAGATTCTCCCCAATCCTCACAGCCCTGCACCCCTGCCTCAGCTTCCCCTTCATTTCAGCCCATTCCCTCTGTTCATTCAGCAGAAGTTGGCTGAGTGCCCGCTCTGTGCCAGGCGCGTTCTCAGTGGTGAACGTCACTCCCCACCCTTGTAGGACTGAGATCCCAGCAGGGAAAACAGCTGCGAAGAACAAGAGGCAGGAAGTATGGACAGAGCAGTGAGGTGGGTGGCCAGAAAAGGCTCTCTAAGGAGGTGACACCTGGCAGAGAACTGAATGGAGTGAGGGAGAGCCTGTGGTTATTTAGGGGAGGAGCTTTGCAGGCACAGAGAAAATGTCCAGAAGCTGTGGGAACGAGCCCTGGCTTGTTCCAGCAACAAGAAGAAAGGCAGCGTGGCCAAGGAGGCGCCAAGAAACAAGTGATGCAGGCAGGAGCCAGGTCAGGCTGAGCATCCTGCACCAGCTAGGGACTCAGCTTTTGTTCTGGCAGAGTGGAAAGCCAGCATGGGGGTGTCAGCTAGGTGTGACGTATCTGATTTACATGCTCTAAGGTCCACTGGATGCCGCCCCCCCAGGTGGAGATTTGACTCCAGGCAGAAAAGGGCAGAAGCAGGGAGACGCGTTTGGCATCTACTGCACTCATCTAAGCTGGAGATGGCGGGCAGGTGGCCTAGGGCAGTAGAGGTGGAGTGGTGAGGAGTGACTGGACTCAGGAACACTATGGAGGTAGAACAGACGGGGCTGCTGATGCTTTGGAAGGAGGTGAGAGAAAAAAAGGAATCAAGGATATCATCTTAACTTATAGCCTAGGCAACCAGGCAATGGTGATACCACTTCCTGAGCTGGAGAATGCCAGGGGAGGAGCAGGTTTAGGCTGGGAATGGGAATCAAATTCAGCTTGGGAAGTTAAACGTACGTTTGAGATGCCTATTAGACATCTAGGTGGCTGGCTACAGTGCTTGTAATCCCAGCACTTTGGGAGGCTAAGGTGGGAGGATCACTGAGCCCAGGAGTTCAAGACCAGCCTGGGCAACACAGCAAGACCCCATCTATTAGAAAAAAAAAAAAAGACATCTAAGTGGAGAAATCCAAAAGGTGGCCAGGTTTACAATATTGTTTGGAGCTCAGCTGAGAGGCTTAGTCTGGAGATGATATAAACTGGAGAGTCGTCAGCGTATAGGTGGTGTTTAAAGTACAGCTGGAAGTGAGGAGAGCCAACCTCCTCTGGGTGCTGCCCCTGCCAGTCTCACCTCCTGACCCCAGCGGTCCTTCCAGCCCATCCAGCGGCGACCATCCCGGGAGTAACGCAGCCGGTAGCTCCGGGAGAACTCCTTGCCCAGGCCCCCGGCATGCCGTCCCTGGGTGCCCACCAGAGCCACCAGGTGCAGTCGTTGTAGATCCACCTGCAAGTACTCCTCCTCCTTGGGAAACACCGACCCTGCGGGGCACCAGGCCCCATCCCCGTCACTGCTCTCCAACCTGAGGGTGAAGAGGGGCACAGAGAACATCTGGCCCCAGGTCTGCCTCCATCTCCAGTATTTAAACCCCACTTCATTTGCCCCCTCAGCCTGCAGGGGTTTCACTGGCATGGGCAGAGGGGTTGGAGGGGAAGTAGAGGTCCCAGGAGCTCCTCTCGGGGCAGCTACAAGTGTGCCAGGTGTGCCAAGTACCTGCTGTGGCGGGCGGCAGTGGAATCTGACCAGGAGCTGGAAGCAGAGATGTCACTGTCTGGGATGGTCCGGTCCTGCATGCCCAGGGCATAGCGGCACTTGGCTGAGTAAAAAGCAGGCATGTAACAGGTCAAGGCCCCCAACTCTCTACCTCCCAAGCCCTGGCCCTCAGGGACCCATGATTCAGTCTCCTCACCAGGATCAAAATGTCCCTTCATGTCAGCATCTCCACTTGCCACCAAGAGCAGCAGCAGTAAAGATGACAGGGCCTCTGGTCCCATAGCTCCTGATCCCTCGGGCCTAAGGGGGTGGGGGCAGCATCTCTGCAGGGGATAAAATGGGTGGTGCGTAAGTTAATCAGGGGACTGAGTCATAGCTGACAGCAACAGACAGAATGGGCCGCTTTGGGGATAATAACAGTAAAACAACAACAACAGTCATTGTTTAACAGCATCAGCTATATTTTTAGAATGCTTCCCCTGTGCCAGACACTGGCCTAAACCCTTAAACAGAATCCATAATTTTATCTTCACAGTCACTTCATAAGGTAGATACTATTACTATCCATATTTAACACATGAAGAAACTAGGGCAGAGATCAGTTAAATAACTTCCTAAAGCCCCATTTCTCCAATCAGGAATGGGCAAAATATCCCCATAAACAACGGCTTAGAACAAACAACAAGTGTGCAAAAAATGTTTATAACACATACAACAGGAAAAGGTTTAATAACTACAATAAACTAAGGCCCCTTAGGAACTGACAAGAAAAAATATATAAGTAACCCAATAAAGAAACAGCCAAAGAATGTGAATAGTCATTTCACAGAAAAGCAAAGCCAAATTGCCAACAAACATTTTTTTTAATGGTCAAATTCACCAGCCTCAGGGAAATACCAAGCAGACTGACAAGATATTTTTTTAAGGCTGTAACATATAAAAGTGGTAGAAAGTGATGAAAAGGGAGGCACCATGCTCAATGGCAGAAATGAGTGTTATCTTCTATTTGGAAAGCAATCTAGCAATGTCTATTATAATTAAAAATGCACATCCTCTTCGACCCAGCATTCCCTCGAGAGAGAAGCACCAGGAAGTAAGAACATATGTGCAGGTCTGGGTCTGGTGGCTCATGCCTGTAACCCCAGCACTTTGGGAGGCCGAGATGGGAGGATCACTTGAGGCCAGGAGTTAGAGACCAGCCTGGTGAACATAGTGAGACCCCATCTCTTTAAAAAAAGTGAAAAATAAAAATAAAAAAGAAGATTTCAAAGATGTTTATTATGGTACCTTTTGTAAGACATAAATCTGTAAGATATGTGAATGCCCACAGGGGACAGGCTGGAATTAAAAAAAATAAGGTTTATTGACTACTATGCAGCTATGAAAAGTAACAAAGAGGCAATATATTCCTAACTTTGTGTGATTTCCATGTATATCTGTTGAATATGAAAAGCAAGCAACAGAAGTATAAAAAATATCCCACCTTTTGAAAATAGAATAAACAAGCACCCATGTTTGTATATATACCTGTGTGTACGTCTAGAAGGAGAGAATATATAATAGAATATAACAATAGAATACAATATAACAAGAGTTAACATGAACGGGGCAAAAGAAAAGCAAATTTAAAAAGACAGGTTGATTGTACTATTTTTCTAAATCTTGTAACATAAATGCATTTATGTAAAATCATAAGATATGTAAAAGAATATGAAAATCATTTTGACTTTTAAAAAATAAATATGTCCCAGGAAAGGTTGGGCAATTCCTTGTTGAGGATATGATAGAATTAAACATCAGATAAGCCTGGACCAGCTCACCCTGCTGCCCTCCCACATAGGAGTCCAGAATTCTAAGAGAAGGGCAGAGGGGACCCCAGCACCTTCTAGTCTTACTGTCCCCTATAGCCCTCTAGGCCCAGGGTGGTCCCTGGACCATCAGCAATACCTGGAAGCATGGAAGAAATCAGAATCTCAGGCTCACCCTTGACCTGCTCAATCAAAATCTGCCTTTTAACACAATTCCCAGGTGACCTGTGCCCATTAAAGTTTGAAAATCCCTACTCTGTTCCTCAGGCCCAGGAAGCTTACCCCACATAAAACTATTCTAAATGGCATCTCCTTACAAACCCAAGTAACTACTCTCCCCTCCCCTGCTGCAGGAAAAGCTATCCTAACCTGTACTGGTCTCAGAGCCCTGTACTGAAGTCTCCAGGCCCTGGAGTCCTGAGGGACTCGACTGCCACCTCTTATCAGGTTCAGGGCATCTTGGGCCCAGTTATCCCTGCTCTGCCTTCCTGAGACCCAGACATCCAGTCCCCCCAGTTCCCACTTCCAGAAGGTGGCTGCCTCTGAGGGACTGAGGAAAGGCTGAGTTGCCTTGGAGACGAGGGCGGGTCTAAAGACAAGGAAGGCAGGTCACCCCAGGAGGTAGGAGGAGTGGGGGATACTCCCCCATCCCTTTGTCCTCCTCCAGCTGCTCCCACAATGCACTAGGGCAGGAATGTAAGAGGCAGCTGAGACCCCAGAGCTCTGAAGCAGCAGCTGAGGGGGACGACTGAGTTGTGGGGGGCACTCAGAGGCTAGAACCAGAAGGCATCACGCCTGGTCCCTTAGGGTCCAGCGCCGGGGAGCAGGCTGCCAGAGTCCCAGGAGACTGGCTTGGAATTCCTGGGTGCCGCTCTCCAACCCCACCTCTCTCGGGAACAGCGGGGCTCTTGTTCCCCTAAGTAACCTTCATGCCTATCCCAGATGAGTCATCAGAGCCACACAGAGCCGAGAGGAGCCCGGGGCAGAGATACAAAGGCAGGCAGAGGATACGAGGCAGGCGGAGACAGAGCGAGAGCCACAATGCAAGAGGTAAATAGAGCAGGCTCAGAAACACGGGGCACAGAGCCAAGCAGAGGAACACGGAGAAGCACAGAGACGTCTGGGCTGTCTGTTCTCCAACACCCCCAGTCACCTCATCTCTCTCCACTGGGTCTTCAGTCCATAGTCAGAGACCCAGAGGGCAAGAGAGGACAAGCCCAGAAGACCTTCCCCAATCCCACCCCCTTCCACTCCATTACAACCAAAGACAAACCAGGGGCCAGGCCACCCTGCCTCAAGCCCTTCACGCTCCTCTCCCAACCCCCAAGTCCCACTCAGACAACACCCACACAGCTCTGTACACACACACACGGTGAAACACACAAACTTACTGAACTGGCTGTAAACAGCGAGGCTAAATGTGGCATGCACACACCCACCTCTCAGTGTCCCTGACAACCCTCACAGAGTTTCTGAGACAGAGCAAACACAGAAGCTCATGCATACATCAACCCGTCCACACCTTGGCATTCCTTCAAGTCCAACCCCATCGCTCAGTGAATAGCCACCTTCAGACACCTGTGAACATGAAATGACAGACACCACATGCTCCTGTGACCAAAAGACAGCATGAGACACACACACCCGGGCCCTTGGGCACAGGATCCCCAGAGAACTGGGGCCCAGCCTCTAACACACATGGGTGACCAAGCCAGAGGGACGTCGAGGGGGCAGGGAACAGGTGGGCGCTGGGTGGGAAGAGTGGCAATAAGGACAACAGCCTTTCCCTGCCTTTCCACTCACTCCCCTTTCACCTGTCTCCACCACACCACTCAGTCCTGGACACACCTACAGGCCCTCAGCAACAGCCAGCGAGCTTGGGCGCCTGCCTCTGGCTGCTGGAAGCGCTGGGAAGAAATGTTCAGCCAAGAGCCAGGCATGGGGGGGTGGGACCCTGAAGCTGGCGCTCACCGGCAGTGACATTCTCTCATGCCAGAGCTAATTGACCATCCAGCCGGGAAGAGTGGTGTCACTGGTGGGTTAGAGTGGCAGTCCCTCTTTTTGCTGGACTGTGACCAGACTGACCAACTGGGTGTTGGCTGAGCGGAGGCTTAGCAGTTAGATGCCCGCAGGGACTGGCCAGGTGGAGGGCAGGCGATAGATGAGCTGACTCAGTGGGGCTGCACAGGAGCACCTCCTCCCGGGGCTCAGTTCCTCCGCACTGAGTGAGAGGGGACTTGCCTCAAGGCTGGAGGCTCAAAACTCTTTCTGGGAGGTCACGGGCTTCACCTCCACCCAGTCCCCGCCCCCGGTTTTCAGACGGTATGCCAGAGCATCGGGGAGGCGGGCAGGGAGGCTTAGAAGAGCTGGACGACCAAGCATGGCTCGGGACGTCCTGCCTCCCCCGCCCCTCGCCCTGCAGGCGCCGCCGCGCGCCCCCACCCCAAGAGCCCCAGGCCTCCGCCCGCGGGTTCCGCCGCCGCTCTCCCTACCTCTCATCGCTCTTCCCGGCAGACCCAGGCGTCCGACCCGGGAGCGGGGCCTCTTCGGCGGCGGGGCGAGGGGCGGGGGAGGCGGAGGGAGCCAGGAGCCGGGAGCCGGGAGCGGGAGGCGCCGGCGGGGCTCGGGTGTCGGGAGGCGGCTCCCGAGAGCAGCTGTCGGGGGCCTGTTCCGGGGAGAGGAGCCAGGGCTGGGGCGGCTCGGGCCCAGGCGCCGCCTCCCCCTCGCCTCGGCTCCCTCCCTTCCTCCTCCCGCTCCTCGCTCCCCTCCCTCCCCTCGGCCTTCTCGCCGCGCGTTCGGGCTCGCAGCCCTCCCTTCCCCCTCCCGGACCCAGTAGTCCCAGTGGCTCCCACGCCCGGCGCCGAGCTCCAGGCCCCGCGCCCGCCACGCCCACCCCGCGCGCTAGCGCCCGGCCCGGCCTCCCCCAGGTAACCCGCCCGCCAAGCCCGCCTGGGCGCTCCCAGGCCGCCCAGCCGCCCGCGCCGCTGCCTCCGGCCGGCTCCGCGCCCAGCCCCCTCCACCCACTCGCAGCCCACCCCCGCTTCCCCAAACGAGAACCTCCAAAGCTGGCGCCCCAGGGGGCTGGCTGCAGTCCCGCTCAGGGCCCACGAGGGGAAGACGCCCCTCCTACTTCTGGGATCGGTTCCTGGTGGGAGAGGCAAAGGGGAGCAGCCCCAGGGCACAGAGGAAGAAGCAGGTTCCCACAGGCTCGGCCCACCCCAGCTGCGGGAGTTAGCCCAGAGAAGGGAGCAGAGCTCAGGTCTCAGGGCTCACCTGTCCAGCCAGGCCCCAGACTGCTCTTCTCCCTCCACCAACCTTTGCTCCTCTCTCGCAGCCTGTGCGCTCCCGCCCCTACGACCCAACCTGGAAGGCCCCAGACCCTGAAGGCGGGCCCACTCTCTTCTCCTTCTCCTCTCAGTTCCTCTCTCTGAAGGGCGTTCTAAGGGACCCGGGGGTCCAGACGCCCAGGCCCTGATTCCCCTGGGCTCCCAACGGAGTGGAGTGGGAGGGGGACTCAGGAGTCCTCAGGGCAAGCCTCCCTCAGGCCCAGCCAGCTCTGGCCGTAGTGGGCCAGAGGGTCTGATCACTGGCCAGAAGAGGCCAAAAATGAGGCCAGGACAAAGTTGAGTGGTCGGGAGGAGGAAGAAGAGGAGCAGGAGAAGGATGGAGGCACACTGAAAATCACACACAGTCAAAAGGAAGGGGACCAAGAGACCCAGGGAAGATGAAACAGTGAGACTGAGTAGGCAAAGCAACTGAGAGAGCTACTGGGCAGAGGATGGAGCGGGACAGAACAGCTTGTGGTGGGAGGTGCTTTTTCCCCACTCAGCACTACCTCAGCCCCTCACCTCTCTCCACACCCCCACACCTGCTCACCACCTAGACAATGTCACGGTCACAGGAAGTTCTCGCTCCACTGCACATCTCCGCCCCAGGAACCTCACAGTAGATAAAAACATACCCTGCTTGCAGTCCCAGACAACAATCCCAAGAAAGAAACACGAAGTCCCAACCAGACAAGTACACAAAAGCACTACCAGGAAGAAGCTGGCCCTTGGGAAAGGCCGAGGCACACATGGGCACTAGTTCAGAAGCCCAAGGACGTTCCAACGGCTGAGGGACCTGCTAACAGACAGCCCCAGGGTCACTCGAAGAGCAGCTTCTTCCCGCCTTCCTGTCCCACCAAGCCCCCAGGGATTCATTCCCCCAGAACACCTACCCCTCCAGAGAACAGCAGCTGGGGAATCTAGGCCCAGGAGACGCTGGACTGGGGGTGGGGCCAGCCTGGGGGTGGGGCCAAGGCTTCCCAAGTCACCTCACCTGGCAGCCCACAGCCCCTCCTTCCAGGAGCTGTGCTCTGGGAAAGCCCCAACAGGCCTGCCAGGCAAGCTACAGCCTGTCATACCCTGGTGGGACATTCCACACCCCAGGCCCACGCTGACCCCAGCTAAGTGGCATGGCAGTGCCAGACAGAGGGGTCCACTGGGGAGAGCAGAAGGAGCTAGAGAGTCCTGAAACCTTTGTCCCCTCTTCTCACTGCCTCAGGAGAAATTCCTAGTGGTGATGCCCACCTCGCCCCAGCTCCAGGCTGGAGGAGTGGGAGGGATGCAAGGCTGGGGCCCAGTGGAGTCAAGTGACAACGGAAAGGGAGCTGGAGCCAGCTGGAATGCGGGACTCGGAGCCGAGATTCCCAGGGGCCTGAGAGGGAAATCCCAGCCATCCTGGGGCCCAGAGAGCAGCACCAAAGACCAAGAGGGCCTGATTACCCATCCGTGGTCCCCAGAGCCCATTCCACATCTCCTGCATCACTCCGAACCCCAGAGGCCCCCTGTGTCCCTGAGAACCCCCAAATGACCCTCTACCATCCCCTCCCATCCTGGGCTTCCCTCCCCTTCAAGCCAGTGGCAGCCTGCTGCCCAGGAAGGAGAGGATGGGAAACAGCTGAAAAAATGTGAGGAGAGGCACGTAGGAGAGGGGAGAAGGCAGCTTCAGGCCTGCAGACCACCTGGCCACAGGAGGGAAGCCCAGCACGACCAGCGAGCGAGAGGACGGACCAGATGGGCCCCCACACATACACTAGCTGCAGTCCCCTTCCGGGAGCTGCAGCTGCCTCTGGAGGAGCAGGCTGGGTCAGCAGCTGGGGAGAGTAAGAAGCGACGGGTGGGGGGCAGGGTGAAGGAGTGTACAAGGCTTTGGGTGTGAGTCAGACCTGATGCCACTGAATAAACTGGAAACTGAGGCCAGGGAGCGAAGGAGGAGATTGAGATGACGTAGCTCTGGGAGAGAGATGAAACAGCTCAGCTGTGGTTGGGGAAGAAAAGGGCAAGGGACCAGAAGAGGGAGAGGAGGCTGATGGTCAGATGGGGACAATGGTGAGAGAATTCCCAGAGAGACGGAGATGGACTGAGGTCAAGGCCAAGGAGACAGGTCTGAGAGAGGAAAAGGAGGATGAAGACAGGGCACACACAGCAAAAGGTGGGAAGCCCCAGGGGCTCAGAGGAGGAGACTGAAGTTTGGGAAGAAAAGGGCTGAACTGGATGAAGGAACTGAAGTGGACTCGGGAAGGAAACAGTGTTGGAAACAAACTCCTAAGAGAGGAAGGCAGGGAACTGAGGAGGCTTGAGAGCTGGGCAGACAGATCAAGGGGACAAGAAGCAAGGACAAGGGAAGAAGGGGCTGGAGTGAAACAGAGAGTGGAGGGAAAGAGGAGGGAGACTGGGGCGCAGAGTGTGAAGCTAAGGGACACGGGGAGATGAGAAGTATAAAAGGCTGAGAAAGGAAGAGGCACCTGCGGGACAGATGGGGACATGAGGACCAAAGAGAGAATCTAACCTGTTTCTGGACAACGGTCCCCCTTTGGGGACACCCTAGTCCCTCAGCCCATTCACCACACCATGGCACCCAACTCTATTCCCTCTCTTTCCCCTCCTCCCTGCCAGGCTCTGGGCCGCTCCCCTCCTCCCAACACACCTCCAGCCTCCAGCCGGGGACCGCCTGGTCCCTGCCCACAAGGGGAGGGCCCAGCTCCAGTGCCCACTCCTGCCCTCCCAGTTCATCTCTGGCTTCCCCCCTCTCACCTCCAGCTCAGGATTCTCTTAGGTCCCAGTCACCCCAGTCTCAGGCCTTTGGGGTCGGGTCTGGGGCTGCCAACGCTGCCTGGCTTTGTCCGAGCGTCCGGGGCCCCGGGCCCAGGAGGAGCAGCTGCCCGGGCCAGCTGCGGCTGGCTTCAATGTGACCATGGCAACCAAGTCCCGCTCCCCTCACCGAGCCTCTAGGCCCCCGCAGAGAGGGACTGAGCAGCCTGGCTGTGGAGAAAGGGAGGGGAGGCTGAGAACTGTGAAACAGAACCAAAGGGAGACCCCAGACAAAGAAACCCCAGACAAAAGGAGATGAAGGGAGGCAGAGGAAACAGAAAGCGGCATTGGGGGTGGTGGCCGGGAGCTCAGGCCCTCCAGAGGGGGAGAATCTAGGAGAGGCGGAGAAAGAGGCAGAAGCAGGGGCTGATTTGCAGGGGAGAAGAGAGATTAGAATTGACTGGCAGAGGTCCTTTAGAGACTCCTTCTGGGCCCCTGAGAATTCACTTCCTTCTCCCAGGATTTTGCACCCTGGAGAGAACCAGAATCCCAGTTTCTTAGTTGGCTGTCTCAAAAATATTATATATGGCGAGAGCTTCCCTCCAATTACACCAATGGCCATAGGAAATATCTGAAAACAAAAGGTGCTCTCAGTTTTCACAAACAACCCCAATTTCAAAGCCTAAACCATCACCTCTTAAATACCAATGGCAATGGTGCCAGTTGCGGTGGCTCATGCCTATAATCCCAGCACTTTGGGAGGCCAAGGAGGGCTGATCGCTTGAGCCCAGAAGTTCGAGACCAGCTTGGGCAACATGGCACAACCCCATCTCTACAAAAAATACCAAAATTAGCTGGATGTGGTGATGCGCACCAGGAGGCTGGGTGGGAGGATCACCTGAGCCCGGGAGGTCAAGGCTGCAGTGTGCCATGATTGCACCACTGCACTCCAGCCTGGGCAACAGAGCAAGACCCTGCCTAAAAAAAAAAAAAAAAGGGCATTGTCAGACAATGTTCAGACAATCCTTGGTTTGGAAACTATGATCCCAAAGCCAAAGGTGATGAATTAGGCTTGGAGGGACTGGAGGAGGGAAGAGGAGTAATGAGGCCGCCTCTCACAGCATGCAAGAGGAAGCAGAGTATCAAATGGGAGGGGAGAAAGCAGGGCTCTGCGTCTGAGAGGGAGAGTTAAGGTTCCGACTCAACATCTGGCTTCTCTTGGCTGAGTCTACATCAGTAAGAGGGAGATAATGGTCACTGGCCCAGAGTCTGTTTAGAAGATAATGAGATAGCATCTGTAAGGTACAGGCCCACTGATAAAAGCAACCATCCAAACTCCACTAAACATGATCTCTCTCTGTGGACTTCTCATGTGTCACTTGGGATCTCTGAGTGCCACCTCCCAAGTCATTCCACAACAGTTGTTATTAAGAGTTTGCTTTGAGAGGCCGAGGTGGGTGGATCACCTGAGGTCAGGAGTTTGAGATCAGCCTAGCCAACATGGTGAAACCCCATCTCTACTAAAAATAGAAAAAAATTAGCTGGGTGTGGTGGTGCGCGTCTGTAACCCCAGCTACTTGGGAGGCTGAAGCAGGAGAATTGTTTGCACCTGAGAGGTGGAGGTTGCAGTGAGCCAAGATCACACCACTGCACTCCAGCCTGGGTGACAGAGGGAGACTCTGTCTCAAAAAATAATAATAATAAAATAAGAGTTTGCATAGGGCACCAGGTGCAGTGGCTCATGCCTATCATCCCAGCACTTTGGGAGGCCCGAGTCAGGCAGATCACCTGAAGTCAGGAGTTCGAGACCAGCCCGACCAACGTGGTGAAACCCTGTCTCTACTAAAAATGCAAAAAAATCAGCCAGGCATGGTGGCGGTTACCTGTAATCCCAGCTACTTGGGAGGCTGAGGCAGGAGAATCGCTTGAACCCGAGAGGTGGAGGTTGCAGTGAGCTGAGAATGCGCCATTGCACTCCAGCCTGGGATACAAGAGTGAAAGTCCCTCTCAAAATAAATAAATAAATAAATAAATAAAAATAAAAGAGTTTGCATAGGGCAGGGCTCTGACAGAGAGAGCTATGAAAGATGCATTCAGTAATGGAACCCACTCCCCACCTTCCAGGCCTTTACAATCTAGAGAGTGTTAGGCGTATATATGTAGTCACAGAAGACAGAACACCGTGCTACAGGCAGAGCTGGAAAGGGTCATGGGAACCCAGGGAAGGAGGAGGCCAGGTCCTCCTGAGTGGGACAGGAGACAAGACTCAGGAAGACCTCAGGGAGGAGCTGGAGCTTGAACTGGGCCTTAAGTCATGCTAAGATTTGCAGAGATGAGGCAAGGCCATTCCTGGCCAGAGAAGCGGAGGAGCCAAGGCAGGGAGGCGTGAATATGGCTATGTCCAAATGCAGCCTCACCTGGAAGAAGGGTCCATCCCATGAGTGAAACCAGAAAGGCAGATTTGGAACCTATCATTGAGTAGTTTGGCTTATTCTGAAGGTGAGGAGAAAGAACCTTGGGGTTTTGAGCTGGGAAATGACATGTTTAGATTTGTGTTCTTTTAAAAGTGGTTTTTGGCAGCAGCATGTGGGATGCAGAGTTCAGAGTAATGGCTGAGGGGAGGGAGGAGTTAATCCCACTTTATCCTGTGTACGTCCCATGGTGCTCCCCCTAAGCCTCCAGCCAGGACAGCAGTGCACATCCTAGGTGTTTTACTAGCATTTTCAACCATCCTGTGTTTGCCTCCTCAGGGCCCTCTGACATGAGTGGGGCAGGGCTCTCATAAAAAGAAAACCTTGTAATCCCAGCTACCCAGAAGCTGAGGCAGGAGGATGGCTTGAGCCCCAGAGTTCGAGGTAACAGTAACTATGATCACACCACTACACTCCAGCCTGGGTGACGGAGCAAGACTCTATCGCCAAAAAAAGAGTGAGAAAAAAGAAAACTAGGCCCAGAGGGGCTGCGATTTACCTTAAATTGCAATAGCAATTTAATTGCCACTTAATGGCAAGTGGCTGCTTCCTACCCAGAACTTCCCCTGGATTCCTCCATCTCAGTCTTCCAAAATGGAAAGGGGGATGTAGAATGGCTCCCTGGGCCTCCAGACTGGACCGACCCTGGACCGACCGCTAAGCCTGGTGAGTCCTGCCTCTGCGGAAGCCCGGCCTTGATAAACTTATCGGAGTATTCTTTAGGCCTTATGGTCCGGACAGTGAACAGGAAGGCCACTTGGGGGCGCTTGCTGCACAGGTGACCAACTCCAATTACTGGAAAATGGAAGGAAAGTGAAAGCGGCCAGGAAAGAGATTCAGGCTTGGGCAGGGAATGGCAGGAAGCACCGCAAAGCAGCAGACCCAAGAGAGAGGTCAGAAAGGCTGACTGGAAGCCCAGGGCAGCTGCGGGGCTATTTAGGGTACAATGACCTAATTTGCACATATAGGAGATGTTGTCATTTATAGGCAGAATGTTAGAATCTTCACTTTCTCTTTTCTATTGTCCTTTGCTAAAAAGCCTGTGGAATTCTCAGCAGCGTCTTAGGATCCCTGAGCCTTGCTGTGAGCCAGGCTCTGCTCTCAGCGCTTTCCAGAGCCATCTCATTTGGCCCACACAGCAGTTCTGTGATGTGGCATTTTGAAACATGCCCACTTAGGGTAGAAACTGAGAGTTAGAAAAGTTGCTCTCCATCCCCATCCCCCATACACACACAGTAAATGGCAGATCTGGAATTCAGATCTCAGTTGTTTGTTTATTTGTTTTATAGAGACAAGCTCTCTGTCACCCAGGCTGGAGTGCAGGGGTACAATTATAACTCAATGCAACCTCTCAAGCCATCCTCCCACCTCAGCCTCCCAAATAGCTGGGGCTCAGGCACCATCATGTCCTGTTATTTTTTATTTTTATTTTTTTGAGACAGAGTCTCGCCCTGTTGCCCAGGCTGGAGTGCAATGGCACGCTCTCGGCTCACTGCAACCTCTGCCTCCCGGGTTCAAACGATTCTCCTGCCTCAGCCTTGAGAGTAGCTGGGATTATACGTGCCCGCCACCACACCCAGCTAATTTTTGTATTTTTAGTAGAGACAGGATTTCACCATGTTGGCCAGGCTGATCTTGAACTCCTGACCTCGTGATCCGCCCGCCTCCGCCTCCCAAAGTGCTGGGATTACAGGCATGAGCCACCACGCCCAGCCATTTTTTGTTTGTATGTAGAGATTGGTAGAGATAGGGTCTCACCATGTTACGTAGGCTAGTCTCAAACTCCTGGCCTCAAGCGATCCTTCTGCCACAGCCTCCCAGTGTAATGAGATTACAGGCGTGTGCCACAATGCTTGGCCCAAATCTGAGTCTTTTTGATTACAGAGCCAAAGCTAGGCTGGAGGATCTCAGCCACCATTCTTTTTCCAACTCTAGAGGTCTATAATACATTCTTATCCTTTCTCTCTAGTCCTTGAACATCTTGGAACATTGTCATTAACTCCTCTAACTTCTTTTATCTCCCAAGAACACTGGTGGCCCAAATTATTCTTGTGTACAAAAAATGTACAGAGATCCAAAAATGGTAAATGCTTACCTCAAGGTCACCCTGGAAGTCAGGGTCAGTGCTAGGATAGTGTTCTCAAACTGAGGTCTCTGGACTCCTGAGGACTTGTGAATACCTGTGAAAACTATTAAGTTCCATGTCTAACTTTCCTTAGTAGCATTTGAAAAGTGTTATAAGCATGTTTTGGGTCATTTGTAACTGATCCTGGCCCTGCTTGTGAGTACCTGCATTTGCATTTACCTATTTATAGTTTTAATTGTCTTGGTCGCATTTGTACCAAGTGAAGGCCAGGAGACAAGTTCTAACAAAGATTTCTTAGTAATTTGAACAGACATGAGAAGGGGAAGAATTGAGTCATCGCCAGGCACACAGTGGAATATTGTGCCAAGTGCGGAAGAACCTTCATCAGGCAGTACATGGTCTGTTGCCAGCAGCAACTTCATTTCAGAAAAACACTATTTATTACATTAATGTTAAACTTGTCTTTATACTTTTGTTTGTACCTATGGCTACTTTGCTTTGGTTTTATAACTGCTTAACTACTGAAGCATAAGGAATTCATAGTTAGTTGTGTTTCCACACATTTAAATTATAAAAATAATTTAAGTCCATGAAAATTGTTTTCCTTCCAAAAAGGTCCATCCATACATTACTCAAGTTCTTGCTCTCACAGTAGGTATAAACTAAACCTGGGCCATCAAGAGTCTCCAAGGAAAACTTGCAATGATGGAGTCCCTGTTAAAGGTCAAAAATCTCCCCGACCCTCAAGATCCAGTGCAAGTGAAGCAGCCAGTTGTCTGGGGTAAATACCCGGGGTTTGCCATCCCATGCCAGGAAAATGTAGGACACGGACACACGCGAGGAGTCGCGAGGAGTTTAAGAGGGAAGGTTTAATAGGCAAAAGAAAGAGAAAGGAAAACAGCTCTCTCTCTAGTGAGAGAGGGGACTTCCGAGAGAAAAGGGGCAGCTGGAGGCAGATGAGCCGAATTTATAGTCCAGCTTGAGGAGGCGGCGTCTGATTTACTTAGGACTCACAGATTGGTTTGATCAGGTGTTTGTTTACATAGCTGGGAAGGCTGGCCGCCCCACCCTAAGCTTATTATGCAAATGAACTCTCTCGGAGGGTGCCATTTTGTCGGCTCCTTACTGCACCTGTGGCTGACAGAGAAGGGATGATGGGGCCGCCATTTTGAACACGATTGGCACAACTGCCGTCATCTATGTCTGCAGCCCGATTTTACAGGCTGCTCTTTGTTAGAAGGAAAAATGATTTGGGCCTGCTTTCCATTAAAAGAGAAACCTTACCAAGAACTTCGGTAACCTCACTGTCTACCTAAGTAATTTCTTCTTAACTCCTGTGTCACAAGGAAGTTAGAACCTGGGGTTTCTGGGCTACTAAGAGAGGAAGATGTGAAGGACTGATTCACAAAGTGAAGAAGTCAGAGGGCAGTCACCTGGGGAAAACTCCAAGGACAGTTTACAGGATAGAATCAAGAATTGGCCAGGTGAGGCCAGGCGCCCTGGCTCACACCTGTAATCCCAGCACTCTGGGAGGGCGAGGTGGGCGGATCACGGGGTCAGGAGATCGAGACCATCCTGGCTAACACGGTGAAACCTCGTCTCTACTAAAAATACAAAAAAACGAGCCGGGCGTGGTGGCGGGCCCCTGTAGTCCCAGCTACTCAGGAGGCTAAAGCGGCAGGATGGCGTGAACCGGGGAGGCGGAGCTTGCAGTGAGCCAAGACCGCACCACTGCACTCCAGCCTGGGCGACAGAGCAAGACTCCATCTCAAAAAAAAAAAAAAAGGCCAGGTGAGGTGGCGCACGGCTGTAATCCTGTTACAGGAAAGGGGTCTCAATCCAGACCCCAAGAGAGGGTTGTTGGATTTCGCACAAGAAAGAATTCTGGGTGAGTCCTCAGTGCAAAGTAAAAGCAAGTTTATTAAGAAAGTAAAGGATTACAAGAACGGCTGCTCCATAGAGCAGCCCTGAGGGCGGCTGGTTGCCCGTTTTTGTGGTTATTTCTTGATGATATGCTAAACAAGGGCTGGATTATTCATGCCTCCCCTTTTTATTTTTTATTTTATTTATTTATTTATTTTTGAGATGGAGTTTCACTCTTGCTGCCCAGGCTGGAGTGCAGTGGTGAGATCTCAGCTTACTGCCACCTCCACCTCCCAGGTTCAAGTGATTCTTCTGCCTCAGCCCCCTGAGTAGCTGGAATTACAGGCGTGCACCACCAGGCCTGGCTAATTTTTGTATTTTTTTTAGTAGAGACAAGGTTTCACCATGTTGGCCAGGCTGGTCTCGAACTCCTGGCCTCAAGTGATTTGCCTACCTCGGCCTCCCAAAGTGCTGGGATTACAGACGTGAGCCAGGGCACCCAGCCCCCCTTTTTAGACCATATAGGGTAACTTGCTGACATTGCCATGGCATTTGTAAACTGTCATGGCGCTGGTGGGAGTGTAGCAGTGAGGATGACCAGAGGTCACTCTCATCGCCATTTTGGTTTTGGTGGGTTTTGGCTGGCTCCTTTATTGAAAACTGCTTTATCAGCAATGTCTTTATGACCTATATTTTGTGCTGGCCTGCTGTCTCATCCTGTGACTTAGAATACCTTAACCATGTGGGAATGCAGCCCAGTAGGTTTCAGCCTTATTTTACCCAGCTCTTATTTAAGATGGGATTGCTGTGGTTCACACGCCTCTGACAATCCTAGCATTTTGGGAGGCCAAGGTAGGCAAATCACTTGAGGCCAGGAGTTTGAGAACAGCCTGAGCAACATGGTGAAGCCCCGTCTCTGCAAAAAAATACGAAAATTAGCCAGGTGTAGTGGTGCACATCTGTGATCGCAGCTACTCAGGCATCTGAGGTGAGAGGATCATTTGAGCCTGAGAGATGGAGGTTGCAGTGAGCCATACCACTGTACTCCAGGCTGGACCACAGAGTGAGACTGTGTCTCAAAAATGAGTAAATAAATACAGAAATAAATAAATAAGAAAAGGAAAGGTAAGTAGTTAAATGTCCATTAATAGGTATGAATAGCCACAAAAATTACTGTTTTATTTTAGGTTTCTCCAAAAGCACATCCTGGGACAAGTACTTGGATATAAGTAGTTTATTTAGGAGGGGCACTGAGTGAAGGGCTGGGAAGAGTGAGACAGGGAAGGGAGAAGAGCCAATAAAGCGTGTGTTAATGAGCAGATTACTTACTGTTGGGAGAAGTGGAACTTAAAACTGTTGGGACTGTAAGTGTCCAATGGGTTCTTCTTGCCTGCTGCCCAGATAGAGCCAATTTATAAAGGCAGGGGAATTGCAGTAGAGAAAGAGTTTTTCACATGTAGAGCTGGCGAAGGAGAAGACTGGAGTCTTATTATGCTCAAATCAGCCTCTTAGAAAAAATTCTGAGACTAGAGTTTTCCAAGGATAGTTTGGGGGAAGAAGGGGAGTAGCTAGGCAATGGGTGCTTGCTGCTGATTGGTTGCAATCATAGGGGTGTGGGAAATGGTCCTCATACATGCTGAGTCACTTCTGGGTGGGGCCACAGGAGCAGTTGGAGGATCCAGTTGGAGCCATAAGTCGTCAGACATAGAAAAAAATCTGAAAAGATATCTCAAAAGCCCAGACATTTATTCACACTAACGGTGAAAAGCATACCCCACAGTGTCAGTGGAGGCAACATGGGGTCCTGGATTTCCTCTTCACCCTCAGTGGTAGTGAGGTGTTCCTCTCACTCCTTCTGAGTAGAGGAAGCCAAGAGGAAAGCTGGAACTTGTACCATCATCCAGTGGTGATAAAGCCTCTGTCCCTCCACCTTACCCCCAGGTTATCAGTGGCAACCACATGGCTAGTGGTACCCCTCCCGCTCCTAGCCAGAATGATATCAGCAGAGGCCTAGAGAGTAGCCCAAAAACTCATCTGCACCCAGCAGGACTGAGGTTTCCTACCCCCACCAATGGAAGCCAAGTGAGGAACCTAAGCCTTCACCTCTCACTCAGCAGGAACCAGACAACACCCCCTAACACACACACACACACACACACACACACACACCCTTCTGTTAGTGTGGTATCAAGGAGGCTTGATAAAATAGAAGATTTAAATAGGATCCAGAGGCTGGGTGCAATGGCTCACACCTGTAGTCCCAACACTCTAGGAGGCCAAGTTGGGTGGATCACTTGGGCTCAAGAGTTTGAGAACAGCCTGGACGACATGGTAAAACCCTGTCTCTACAAAAAATACAAAAATTAACCAGGTGTGGTGGCACATGCCTGTAGTCCCAGCCACTTGGGGGGCTGAGGCGGAAGGATCACCTGAGCTAGGAGGCAGAGATTTCAGTGAGCCAAGATTGCACTACTACACTCCTCCAGACTGGGTGACAGAGTGATACCTTGTCTCAAAATAAATTAATAAATAGGATCCAGAGTCTCATAACATAATATCCAAATGTCCAGGATGCAATTGAAAATCACTTGCCATACCAAGAACCAGGAAAATCTCAACCAGAATAAGAAAAGACAACAGATGTCAATATCACGATAACACAGATGTTGCAATTATCTGACAAGGAAGCAGCCGTCATAAAAAATGTTTCAACAAGTCATTGTAAATATGATTGAAACAAATAAAAAAGGGAGAAGTCTCAGAAAAGAAATAGAAGATATAAAGAAGAATCAAATGGAAATTTTAGAACTGAAAAATGCCATAATAAAAATTTAAAATTCACCAAATGGGCACAACAGCAGAATGGAGAGGACAGAGAAAAGACTCAGTAAACTTGAAGATAGAACAACAGAATTCATCCAATCTGAACAACAGGGAGAAAATAGATAGGAAAAAAATGAACGTAACCTCAGACCACAATGAACATAACTATGTGACTGTAACAAAAGATCTAGCATTCATGTTATTGGGGTCCCAGAAGGAAAGGAGAAACAGGATGGAGCTGAAAAAGAATTGAAAGGAATAATGGCTAAAAATTTTCCTAAATTTAGGGGGAAAAAACATAACAGATTCAAGATGCTAAGCAAATCCCAAACAGAATAAACCCAAAGAAATCCATGCAGAGGCACATCATAATTAAACTTCTGGAAACTAAAAAATCTTGAAACCAATCAGAAATGACACAGTATTTGTAGAGGAAAAACAATCCAAATGACAGAAGATTGCTTTTCAGAAACCATGAAAACCAAAAGGAAATGACATTTTTTTCAAGTGCCAAAGGAAAATAACTGTCAGCCCAGTATCCTGTAGCCATCAAAAATACCCTTCATGAATGAAGGGGAAATCAAGACATTCTTAGGAGAAGGAAAATGAAAAGAATTTGTCATCAGCAGACCTACCCTAAAAGAATGGCTAAAAGAAATTCTTTCTTTCTTTCTTTCTTGCTTTCTTTCTTTCTTTCTTTCTCTTTCTTTCTTTCTTTTCTGTATGTGTGTGTGTGTGTGCATGTGTGCGTGTAGAAGCAGGATCTCACCATGCTGCCCAGGCTACTCTCAAACTCCTGGCCTCAGGTGATCTTCCTGTCTCAGCCTCCCAAAGTGCTGGGACTGCAGGTGTAAGCCACCACACCTAGCCTAAAAGGAACTCTTGAGACAAACAGGAGAGGATAAAGAAGAAATCTTGGAGCATCAGGAAGAAAGAAAGAACAATAGAAAATGCAAAAATATGGGAAGATTACCTTATTTCACTCCTTGGCATCAGGTTTGGCTATGTGACCTTCTGTGGCCAATCAAATGTGAGCAGAAGCAACATATATCACTTCCAGGAAATAGCTTCAAAGGCCAGTGTGTGGTTCTCCATGACTCTTTCTCCTCTCATGACACCTGTCACTGCTCCAGCTCTGCCATCTGGGTCCTGGTGTGAGATGACATGGACAGGGCCATAGCCAACCTGCAATGAATACATATAGCATGAGCAAAAATAAATCTTGGATGTTGTAAACATCTTAAGATTTTTGGCCAGGCATGGTGGCTGAAGCCTGTAATCCCAGTACTCTGGAAGTCTGAGGCAGGTAGATCACTTGAGGTCAGGGGTTCAAGACTAGCCTGGCCAATATAGTGAAAACCCATCTCTACTAAAAATACAAAAATTAGCTGGGGGTGGTGGCAGGTGCCTGTGATCCCAGCTACTCAGGAGGCTGAGGCAGGAGAGTTGCTTGAACCCAGGAGGCAGAAGTTGCAGTGAGCCAAGATCATGCCACTGCACTCCAGTCTGAGAGACAGAGTGAGACTCTGTCTCAAAAAAAAAAGTAAAGATTTTTTTAACCATGGCAAAACTTGACTTTTTTTTTTTTTTTTTTTGTGACAGAGTCTCGCTCTGTTGCCAGGCTGGAGTGCAGTGGCATGATCTCGGCTCACTGCAACCTCCGCCTCCCAGGTTCAAGCAATTCTCCTGCCTCAGCCTGCTAAGTAGCTGAGATTACAGGCACGTGCCACCACATCCAGCTAATTTTTTGTATTTTTAGTAGAGACAGGGTTTCATCGTGTTAGCCAGGATGGTCTCGATCTCCTGACCTCGTGATCTGCCTGCCTCAGCCTCCCAAAGCGCTGTGATTACAGGCGTGAGCCACCACGCCTGGCTGACCTTTCTTGATTGATATATAATCACAGTGATACATCTGTATAGTTCTTTTGTGTTGCCAAAACCTCACATTATTTACTTTGACCTTCATAAAACCCCATGAAGTATGAAGACAAATTATAGAGGGAGCCAGCCCCCAGTATTTCAATGTAGGTTCTTTTCTATTTTCCCTTAGTGTCGGCTGGTCTGAGAAATAAAGAGAAACAGTACAAAGAGAGAAATTTTACAACTGGGCCTCCAGCGGTGAGATCACATACTGGTAGGACCGTGATGACAACCCCGAGCTGCAAAACCAGCAGGTTTTTATTAGGGATTTTAAAAGGGGAGGGGTGTACGAACAGGGAGTAAGCCACAAGGATCACATGCTTCGAAGGGCAATAAAGATCACAAAGCGAAGGCAAAATTAGAATTACTGATGAGGGTCTATGTCCCGCTGTGCACGTATTGTTTTGATAAACATCTTAACAGGAAACAGGGTTCGAGACCAAAGAACCGGTCTGACTAGAATTTACCAGGCTGGAATTTCCCAATCCTAGTAAGCCTGAGGGTACTGCAGGAGACCAGGGCATATTTCAGTCCTTATCTCAACCACATAAGACAGACACTCCCAGAGCAGCCATCTATAGACCTCCCCCGAGGAATGCATTCCTTCCCCAGGGTTATTCCTTCCTGGGAAAAGAATTCAGCGATATTTCTCCTCGCACATCTGTTTATAGGCTTTCTGCAAGAAGAAAAATATGGCTCTATTCTGCCCAACCCTGCAAGCAGTCAGACTTTATGGTTATCTTTTCTTGTTACCTCAAAATTGCTGTTACTTTGTTCTTTTTCAGAGTGCACTGATTTCATATTGTTCAAACCCACATGTTTTACAATCAGATTTCATATTGTTCAAACACACATGTTCTACAACCAATTTGTACAATAGTGGTCCTGAGGTGACGTACATTCTCAGTTTATGAAGATAATAGGATTAAGAGATTAAAGACAGGCATAAGAAATTATAAGAGTATTAGGGAAGTGATAAATATCCATGAAATCTTCACAATTTATGTTCAGAGATTGCAGTAAAGACAGGTGTAAGAAATTATAAAAGTATTAATTTGGGGAACTGCTAAATGTCCATGAAATCTTCACAATTTATGTTCTTCTGCCTTGGCTCCAGCTGGTCCCTCCATTCAGGGTCCCTGACTTCCCACAACAAATTAATGATATTTTTGTGTCAAAGACTAGCTGAACCCTATGTTGTTCCCGGTTACCAACTGACATAAATAAGTATGTTTGTAATGAGCCTTAAAATGGTTCTATGGAGTTGCCCATGTAAGAAGCAGCCGGATGGCAAATTAGTTATTGTAATTTGAAGTGCTCACAGTTATAACTTCCTATATAAGGTTCCTACTTGCAATTTCTGTTTGTTTTCTATATTCACAATATCTTAAAAGGCATAGACTATCTTTCCAAGCCTCACATTATACATCACTTTAATTTGCTCTGGTGTAAAACTGCTAATTTCTTTGAGGTGATACCACAGAACCACTAAATTAGATACGCTGTATGCCACATAGCATATATTTTAAGTCATTTTTTAATTAAAAAAAACAAACCTTAAAATTTGGTGAAAATCCATTGTGTTTGTTATCTATTGCTGCATAATAAATTGCCCCAAAAGTAAGTGGCTTCAAACAATAAGAAACATTTATTTTCTATCTCTCTTAAACACATACACACACACATACATACACACACAAACACAGTATTAATTTGTTATTGTTGAAGTTTTAAAAAGTGATTTGTATGTCAAAAACAAACCCCAACCTTCTCTCCTTGCCACCCAAACCAAAGAAGGCCAGCTCCATAACATAAAAGTGCGAGGTGAAGCAGCAAGTGATGATGAAGAAGCTGCATCAAGTTATCCAGAAGATCTAGCCAAGATAATTGGTGAAGGTGACTACACTAAACAACAGATTTTCCATGTAGATAAAATAGCTTTATATTGGAAGAAGAGGCCATCTAGGACATTCATAGCTACAGAGGAAAAGTCAATGCCTGCCTGGCTTCAAAGCTTCAAAGGACAGTCTGACTCTCTTGTTAGAGGCTAATATAGCTGATGGCTTTAAGTTGAAGCTAATCCTCATTTACCACTCTGAAAACCCTCTGGCTCTTAAGAATTATGCTAAATCTACTCTGCCTGTGTTTTATAAATGGAACAACAAAGCTTGGATGACAGCATATCTGTTTACAGCATGGTTTGTTGAATATTTTAAGCCCACTGTTGAGAGACCTACTGCTCAGGAAAAAAAAGATTTCTTTCAAAATATTACTGCTCATTGACAATGTAGTTGGCCACCCAAGAGCTCTGATGCAGAGATACAAGGAGATAAATGTTGTTTTCATGCTTGGTAACACAGTGTCCATTCTGCAGCCTATGGATCAAGGAGTGATTTCAACTTTCAAGTCTTATTATTTAAGAATAAATTTTGTAAGGTTATAGCTGCAATGGATAGTGATTTTTCTGACATATCTGGGCAAAATACATTGAAAATCTTTTGGAAAGCATTCATCATTCTAGATGCCATTAAGAACACTTGTGAGCTGAGCACGGTAGCTCACACCTGTAATCCCAGCACTTTGGGAGGCCGATGTGGGTGGATCACCTGAGGTTAGGAGTTCCAGACCAGCCTGGCCAACATGGTGAAACCCCATCTCTACTAAAAATATAAAATTAGCCAGGCATGGTGACACACTCCTATAATCCTAGCACTTTGGGAGGCCGAGGCAGGTGGATCACCTGAGGTCAGGAGTTTGAAACCAGCCTGGCCAACATGGTGAAACCCCATTTCTACTAAAAATACAAAAATTAGCTAGGCCTGGTGGCAGAGGCCTGTAATCCCAGCTACTTGGGAGGCTGAGGCAGGAGAATTGCTTGAATCTGGGAGGCAGAGGTTGCAGTGAGCTGAGATCGCACCACTGCACTCCAGCCTGGGCAACAAGAGTAAGACTCTGTCTCAAAAAAAAAAAAAAAGAGAGAGAGAAAGAAAAAAAAAAGAACACTTTTGATTCACGGGAGGAGGTCAAAATATCAACATTTACAAAAGTTTGGAAGAAGTTTGGTGCAAACCTTCATGAATGACTTTTGAGGGGTTCCTGACTTCGGTAACTGCAGATGTGGTAGAAAAAGCCAGAGAACTAGAAGTGGAGCCTGAAGATGTGACTGAATTGCTGCAATCTCATGATAAAATTTGAATAGATGAGGAAGTGCTTCTTGTGGATGAGCAAAGAAAGTGGTTTCTTGAGACGGAATCTACTCCTGTTGAAGATGCTATGAACATTGTTGAAATGACAACAAAGGACTTAGAATATTACATAAACTTAGTTAATAAAGAAGCAGCAGGGTCTGAGAGAATTGACTCCAATTTCAAAAGAAGTTTTACTGTGGGTAACATGTATCAAACAGCATCACATGCTACAGAGAAATCTCTCACAAAAGGAAGAGTGAATCGATGTGGCAAACTTCGTTGTTGTCTTAATTTAAGAAATTGTCATAGCCACTTAAGCTTCAGCAGCCCCCACTCTGATCAGACAGCAACACACCTTCCACCCACAAAAGGATTATAACTCTCCGAAGGCTCAGATAATCATTATCATTTTTTAGCAATAAAGTATTTTAAAATTAAGGTATGTACTTCTTTAAGACATAATGCTATTGCACACGTAATAGACCATAATATAGTGTAAGCATAACTTTTATGTGCACTAGGAAAACAAAAACTTAGTGACTTACTTTACCGAGATATTCCCTTTATTGTGATGAACTGGAACTGGGCCCGCAACCCGCAATATCTCCAAGGTATGCCTATATCTGAGAAAGCAGCACTGAAATGGCAAATAAATAATATTCATGAAAGCTTTGCCAGTAAGGAAGTAGAGGGTGGCTGTTTTGTGGAAACTAAAAGCGTGTCCTGCAAAAACCTTTCGTGAAATCAGACAGGCTTTCTTTCTTTTTTATTTTTTTTTCCAAGACAGGGTATCACTCTGACACTAAGGCTGGAGTACAGTGATGTGATCTCAGCTCACTGCAGCCTCAACCTCCTGGGCTCAAGTGATCCCCTCACCTCAGCCTCCTCAGTAGCTGGGACTATAGGCATGTACCCCAATGCCTGGCTAATTTTTTTTTTTTTTTAAACAGTGGTCTCTCTTTGTTGCCCTGGCTGGTCTTGAACTCCTAGGCGCAAACTGAATAGGCCTCCCAAAGTGCTGTGATTACAGGTGTGAGCCACTGAACCCAGCCAGACAGGCTTTCTTCAGCAAGTTGTCTGCCATGCAAAGAGATTTGGGTCATAAGATTCAGTAGTCTCTGGGAAGCCTTTAAAAAAGAAGTTGAACCTGGCCATGATCAGATTGGCATAGTATTATAAAGGATGATATGAAGGGTGATACAGTTTGAATCCGTGTCCCTGCCCAAATCTTATATTGAAATGTAATCCCCAATGTTGGAGGTGGGTTCTTGTGGGAGGTGATTGGATCGTGGGGGCAGATTTCTCATAAATGGTCTAGTACCATCCCCTTTAGCACTGTACTCACCATAGTGAGTGAGTTCCTGTGATATATGGTCATTTAAAAAGGTGTAGCACCTTTACCATCACTCTCTCTCACTCCTGCTCCCGCTATGTGAGATCCCTGCTCCCCCTTCACCTTCCACCATGATTGAAAGCTTCCTGGGGCCTCCCCAGAAAGAGATGCTGCTATGCTTCCTGTACAGCCTACAGAACCGTGAGCCAATTAAACCTCTTTTCTTACAAATTACCCAGTCTCAAGTATTTCTTTATAGCAGTGCAAGAATGGCCTAATACAAAGGGAAAGCAAGATTAGGGGAAGGGGTGCCAGTAACAAGGCTATGTATTATGTGCTTCTAATTCTAAATCATATACGTACTGGGAAACCAGAACTTGCAGGTGGATGGATCACCATCATGCCTATTCCATCCCAGGAGCAGCAAAACTGTCCCCCTTAGAGATCTTCCACCGTGAACCTCAGAGCCATTCAGCTATGGGTAAAGCTAACCTAAGCACAAATAGCAGATTTTTAGCGCCTGACTGGGATCCAGAGCCACTTGGTCAGCGGGGAGGGTAAGGGATGGATATTGTGAAGGTTCAGAGGTCAGGGTGGGAGGGGGCTGGCAATGGGTTAATCAAAGGGGCTCTCACACAAATATCCTATTCAAGACACCAAAAGTGACAACCTGAGACTTCTATTAGCTTGATTTTGTTGATGAAACATTCACCTTGAGGGGAGGAGGGAGGTACCCAAGGGATATCTCATGCACCTCTCACCTAGACTCCAGGGAAACCAGAGGCAAGGACTTCATAATGATCTGCCCCACCTGAGGATGATGGTGATATGCTGACATCATCCTCTGTACTGCCCGAATCCTGCTGCACATCAAAAACACAATCTGCACCACCACACAACCACGTGATCATCAATTGAGACATGAAGTTCACATCTTGTCTCTGGACCTTGAGAGCTTGTTTGGAGATTCTAGCAGGGGAGCGCAGCTACTCGTATACCCTTAGCCGAAGACTGGTCCTCCTCTATTGGGGATGGTCCTCCTCTTCAACTGAGCACACAGCTTCAGGAGGGATGCACATGGAGTGGTGAGGGAGGAAGGGGACACCACCTAGCCAGCTAGATCAGCAGAATCAACAGTGGCAATCACTGAGGTGACAGATGTCATAGCCAGATCACCCTCACATCCAATGTCTCTGGAAAATAGCGTTCAACTTTCTCCACTTGAGAAGGCACCTGACTACTTGCCTGCTGCCCACACTAGGGGCCAGATATGGTACATTAGTCACCTTCTTAGAGGCATTCTCCAGGCTCAGCAGGAAGCCCCCCCTTGACTGGGGAGCTGGGAAAGGGCAGGGATGTACTTTTCTGCGGAGATCTATTTTCTCCACAATGGGATTTAAATCATTAAACTGACTTTATAACATCAGTTCTAGAGCATCCTACTTGCAAACGGAGTGAAATTATCCAAATTATAAAGGAATCTCTCACTTGATAAAAGAAACACATGGTCTCAGGTAGCGTTTTAATGTTTCATAGCATGTGTTTTCAGATCAATAGACACTTAGCAGAGGGAAGGTGTATTAGTCCTGTAACAGGGTGTATTAGCACTGCTATAAAGAACTACCTGAGACTGGGTAATTTATGAAGAAAGGAAGTTTAATTGGCTCACAGTTCCACAGGCTGTACAAGAATCATGCTTGGGGAGGCCTCAGGAAACTTACAATCTGGGCAGAAGGGCAAGGGGAAGCAAACACCTTCTTCACACGGTGGAGTGGGAGAGAGGGAAAGTGAAGGGGGAGGTACTACACACTTTGTTTTTTTGTTTTGTTTTGTTTGTTTGTTTGTTTTTTGAGTCAGAGTTTTGCTCTTGTTGCCCAGGCTGGAGTGCAATGGCGTGATCTCGGCTCACAGCAACCTCCATCTCTCAGGTTCAAGTGATTCTCCTGCCTCAGCCTCCCAAGTAGCTGGGATTATAGGCATGTGCCACCATGCCGGCTAAATTTGTATTTAGTAGAGACGGGGTTTCTCCATATTGGTCAGGCTGGTCTCGAACTCCCGACCTCAGGTGATCCGCCTACCTCAGCCTCCCAACATGCTGGGATTACAGGCGTGAGCCACCACGCCCGGCTCTACTACACACTTTCAAACAACCAGATCTCGTGGGAACTCACTCACTATCACGAGAACAGCAAGGGGGAAATCTGCCCCAATGATCCAATCACCTCCCACCAGGCCTCTCCTCCAACACTCCAACACTGGGAATTACAGTTCAACTTGAGATTTGGATGGAGCCCATATTGGAGGGATTGAAAGTTCCTATGTTCCAAGACACAGACCAACAAGAAAGCAAGCAAATTAAAAAGGAAGCCTGAAATTCTAGTAGTAAGATGAATTATTAGGCCGGGCGTGGTGGTTCACACCTGTAATCCCAGCACTTTGGGAGGCCAAGGCAGGTGGATCACGAGGCCAGTAGTTCCAGACCAGCCTGACCAACGTGGTGAAACCCTGTCTCTACTAAAAATGCAAAAATTAGCCAGGCATGGTGGTGCGCGCCTGTAATCCCAGCTACTCAGGAAGCTGAGGCAGGAGAATCGCTTGAACCTGGGAGGCAGAGGTTGCAGTAAGCTGAGCTCACACCACTGCACTCTAGCCTGGGTGACAGAGCAAGACTCCATTAAAAAAAAGAGAGAGAGAGAGAAGTGATTTATGTATTTGGTTTTTCCTGGACAGGAAGCTAAAATTCCAGGCTGGTGTTTAACCCCGGATGACTGTCAGGCGTAGCTGAAGACTCTGCTGGGTTTCTCTGGGCAATTGGCTTTTCACATTGGTCTGCGGGTTTGTCTGTAACTCCAGGCGATAGAGCTGGGAGTGTGCTGGGGGAGGACCAAGATTAGGATGAGACGCAGGTGAGGGCTCAGCCGTACTGTTTGTTCATGGGATGTTCCTCATGAGATCCTGTAGCCTCACATCGGCAAGAAAAGAACACATCTCCTTTATGTGCCAGCTGGGAGCTGAGGAGACTGGTCACACTCACAGAAAACCCAAGGAACGTTAGTAGTCATGGTTTTCAAGGCCAAAATCTAAACAGTGTTTGGGGAGGAGCTGGTCCCTCCCACCATGCACAGAGGTGTTTATGTGGTGTCCCTAGGCCAACGAAGAATGTCTCTCCAAGATCTCAGCTCCTCACCACACCTCCCCAACCCTCAACTTTCCCCTTCCCTCTCCATGAATCCACCTCCTTTTTACCTTCTCTCAAAGTTCCCTGCCTTCCCAAGTCCTTGCACTGAGCTGCGCCGACTCTCCGGCAAGATTAGCAAGTCCCTGGCCCCCTTTTATATTTTTGTGCTTGCAGCCTGTCAACTCTCAGGCAAACAGACCCTGACAGACTGCTTTACCAGGCAGAGTGCTACACCTCCTGGCTCCCCTGCTACCAGCTGCTAGGACCTAGTGCACGAGGTTATCACCACTTTGGCCAGCCTCCTCACCACCCTATTTTCTTTTCTTTTTTCTTCCTTGTTTAAAAAAAGAGAGAGAGAGAAAGAGGGCCTCGCTCTGTTGCCTAGGCTGGAGTACAGTGGCACAATCACGGTTCACTGCAGCCTTGAACTCCTGGGCTCAAGTGATCTTTCCAACTCAGCCTCTGGAACAGCTAGGACTACAGGAACATGCCACCATGCCTGGATAACTTGGTTTTTTGTTTGCTTTTAGAGAGGAAGTCTCCCTATGTTGCCCAAGTAAGTCTCCAACTTCTGGCCTCAAGTGATAATCCTGTCTTGGCCTCCCAAAGTGCTGGGATTATAAACTGATATGGTTTGGCTGTGTCCCCAGCCAAATCTCATCTTGAATTGTAGCTCCTATAATTCCCATGTGTTGCAGGAGGGACCTGGTGGGAGATAACTGAATCACAGGGGTGGTTTCCCCTATACTGTTTTCATGGTAGTGAATAAGTCTCATGAGATCTGATGGTTTTATAAGGGGAAACCCCTTTCACTTAGTCTCTCATTCTGTTCTTGTCTGCCACCATGTAAGACATGGCTTTTGCCTTCAATTGTGATTGTGAGGCCTCCCCAGCCATGTGGAACTGTGAGTCCATTAAATCTCTTCTTTTTCTTTATAAATTACCCAGTCTTGGGTATGTTTTTATCAGTAGCATGAAAAGGGACTAATACAGTACATTGGTAATGGGAGTGAGATGCTGCTGTAAAGTAACCCAAAAATGTGGAAGCAACTTTGGAACTGGGTAACAGGTAGCAACTGGAACAGTTTGGAGGGCTCAGAAGACAGGAAAGTGTGGGAAAGTATGGAACTTCCTAGAGACTTGTTGAATGGCTTTGACCAAAATCCTGATAATGATATGGACAATGAAATACAGGCTGAGGTGGTCTCAAATGGAGATGAGGAACTTGTTGGGAACTGGAGTAAAGGTGACTCTTGCTATGTTTTACCACAAAGACTGGTGGCATTTTGCCCCTGACCTAGAGATTTGTGGAACATTGAACTTGAGGGAGATGATTTAGGGTATCTGGCAGAAGAAATTTCTAAGCAGCAAAGCATTCAAGAGGTGATGTAGGTGCTGTTAAAAGCATTCAGTTTTAAAACTGAAACAAAGCATAAAAGTTCAGAAAACTTGCAGCCTGACGATGTGATAGAAAATAAAAACCCATTTCTTTTTTGTTTGTTTGTTTTTGAGATGGAGTCTAGCTCTGTCACCCAGGCTGTAGTGCAGTGGCATGATCTTGGCTCACTGCAACCTCTGCCTCCCAGGTTCAAGCAATTCTCCTGCCTCAGCCTCCCAAGTAACTGGAATTACAGGCACATGCCACCACGTCCAGCTAATTTTGTATTTTTAGTAGAGACAGGGTTTCATCATGTTGGCTGACCAGGCTGGTCTTGAACTACTGACCTCAAGTGATCTGCCTGCCGTGGCCTCCCAAAGTGTTGGGATTACAGGCGTGAGCCACCGTGCCCAGCTAATTTTTGTATTTTTTGTAGAGATGGGGTTTTGCCCAGGCTCGTCTCGAACTCCTGAACTCAAGTGATCCACCTGCCTCAGCCTCCCAAAGTGCTGGGATTACAGGCATGAGCCGCCACGCCCAGCCAAAAAAATCATTTTCTGAGGAGAAATTCGAGCCAGCTGAAGAAGTTTGCATAAGTAATGAAGAGTCAAATGTTAATCACCAAGACAATGGGGTAAATGTCTCCAGGGCGTGTCAGAGACCTTTGCAGCAGCCCCTCCCATCACAGACCTGGAGACTAGGGAGAAAAAATGGTTTTGTGGGCCAGGCCTAGGGCCCCCCTGCTGTGTGCAGCCTGGAGACTTGGTGCCTGCATCCCAGCCATGGCTAAAAGGGGCCAAGGTACAGCTTGGGTCATGGCTTCAGAGGGTGCAAGCCCCAAGCCTTGGCAGCTTCCACATGGTGTTGAGCCTGTGGGTGCACTGAAGTCAAGAATTGAGGTTTGGGAACCTCCAACTAGATTTCACCTGGATGTCCAGGCAGAAGTTTGCTGCAGCGGTGGAGCTCTCACGGAGGACCTCTGCTAGGGCACTGCGGGAGGAAAATGGGAGGTTGAAGCCCCCATGCAGGGTCTCCACTGGGGCACTGCCTAGTGGAGCTGTGAGAAGAGGGCCACCATCCTCCAGACCCCAGAATGGTAGATCCGCCCACAGCTTGCACTGTGTGCCTGGAAAAACAACAGACACTCAACACCAGCCCATGAAAGCAGCCAGAAGAGGGGCTGTACCATGTAAAGCCACAGGGGCAGAGCTGCCCAAGGCCATGGGAACCCATCTCTTGTATCAGTGTTACCTGGATGTGAGACATGGAGTCAATGGAGATAATTTTGGAGCTTTAAGATTTGACTGCCCCACTGGATTTTGGACTTGCATGGGGACTGTAGCCCCTTTGTTTTGGCCAATTTCTCCCATTTGGAATAGCTGTATTTACCCAATGCCTATACCCCCACTATATCTAGGAAGTAACTAACTTGCTTTTGATTTTGCAGCCTCATAGTTGGAAGGGACTTGCCTTGTCTCAGATGAGACTTTGGACTGTGGACTCTTAAGTTTATGCTGAAATGAGTTAAGACTGTTGGGAAGGCATGATTGGTTTTGAAATGTGAGGACATGAGATTTGGGAGGGGCTGGGGCAGAATGATATGGTTGGGCTGTGTCCCCACCCAAATCTCATCTTGAGTTGTAGTTCCCATAATTCCCATGTGTTGTGGGAGGGACCTGATGGGAGATAATTGAATCACAGGGAGTGGTTTCCCCCATACTGTTTTTGTGGTAGTAAGTCCCACAAGATCGGGTAGTTTTATAAGGGGAAATCCCTTTCACTTGGTCTCTCATTCTCTTCTTGTCTGCCACCATGTAAGATGTGCCTTTTGCCTTCTGCCATGCTTGTGAGGCCTCCCCTGCCACATGGAACTGTGAGTCCATTAAACCCCTTTTTCTTTATAAATGACCCAGTCTCAGGCATGTCTTTATCAGCAGCATGAAAACAGACTAATATATAGGCCTTCACCATCCTTTTTTTTTTTTTTTTTTTCGAGACAGAGTCTCGCTTTGTTGCCCAGGCTAGAGTGCAGTGGCATAATCTCTTCTCACTGCCACCTCCGCCTCCTGAGTTCAAGTGATTCTCTTGCCTCAGCCTCCTGAGTAGCTGGCACTACAGGTGGGTGCCACCACATCTGGCTCATTTTTGTATTTTTAGTAGATATGGGGTTTCACCATGTTGGCCAGGGTGGTCTCAAACTCCTGACCTCAGATGATCCACCCATCTCAGCCTCCCAAAGTGCTGGGATTATAGGTGTGAGCCAGCATGCCTGGCCACATCATCCATTTTTGCTGCCAGAATTTTTGCCATCACCCCTGCCATTTGAGGGCAGAACAAAAGGTTGCTCACATCATTTGATTCAGATCATGTTGGCCAAAAGCTAGTCCCACAGCATGTGATACTGGGAAATGTAGTCTTGATTCAGGATGGCCACAAGTCCAGCAAAAATTTGGGAGTCTCATTAGTAAGGAAGAAGAGGAGAATGGATACTTGGGGACAACAGCAGTTTCTGCCACAAAGCACACAGTGGGAAGTGAGAGATCACTACACACCTCCATTCTCACCAGGAGCAGCTGGCCTGTAAATGGCACAAAGTAAGTGAAGAAGCCTCAAATGTTATTTATTTTATTTTTATTTTATTTTTTTGAGACAGGGTCTTGCTGCGTCTCCAAGGCTGGAGTGCAGTGGTATGATCATGGCTCACTGCAGCCTTGACTTCTTGGGCTCCAGTGATCCTCCTTCCTCAGCCTCCCAGTAGCTACGATTACAGGCGTGTGCCACTATGCCTGGCTAATTTTTGTATTTTTGGTAGAGACGGGGTTTTACCACATTGTCCAAGCTGGTCTTGAACTCCTGAGCTCAAGCAATCATCCGCTTTGGCTTCCCACAGTGCTAGGATTACAGGTATGAGCCACCACGCTTGGCCAGAAGCTTCAAATTTACATAAAGTGTGAAGTTTGGAATTCATAAATTCATAGTGTGGAATGGGGAAGGAAGAAAAGCTCTTTAAGAGATACAATCAGTGTTTTCTTTGGTTGTTAGAGTGTTGAAACAAATCAGACACTTTAGCACAGTAAGAGTTAACCTCCCTCACTGGGCCCCAGCAGGCAGCCCGGGAGCAGTGAGGTCGCAGTGGGTTGACAGGGTCTGTTTGTTTGCCTGAGAGTTGACAAGCTGCACGCACAAAACTCATCCAAGCAGAAGAAGCATCCATGCATGATAAACTTGAACCAATAACAAAGTCTTGGACATTAAATCATAACTGCTTTTTTGTTCGTGTTTGTGTATGTGTATACCGCTTTTTGATCTTGTACCAAACCATAAACTCCATGGGCACAGAGACCACGTTTATCTTGTTTATCATGTTCATCATGTGGCTAGCATGGATAAGGAATTTAGGAAATATGTGTTGAATAAAAGAGTAAATGAATGTTGTTTGTCACCACATTTAGTCCAGTCCTGCCTCCATCCGAAGCAAAAAGAAAGCTGAAGGTCAACATAGAAGCTGTGGTTCTACAAGCTCTGCACAATGCTGGAGCCCACCAGCATTGCTTGGGTGGCCCCTTCGTGAACAGGAACACAAAAGAGGGGAAAGGCATTTCCCCACTGGACATAGACACTGCTCTGCCCAATGCAGAATTGATGCCTGAAGGGCTCCGGTTCCCTGGGGGAATGCTCAGCAGGCGATGGAGAGTTGCTGTTGGCCTGGGTGCCTGGATTTAGGAGCACGAGTGAGATTTCCCTCAGACCCCCAGAAATACTTGGGCAGAGAAGGAGACACTGAAATGTTGTTACTATCTTAAGGTGGCCCCATTTGCACATTCCCATAGGTTAGCAAGACCCAGGGATGCTCAGGTTACTTATTTGGAACCTAATGTTGAAATACTATGAATTGTGCATGACAGATTAATTACTACTACTGGGATGAGAGCCCCTGGCCTTTTGGGATGGTGGCAGTGGCACTGGTGGAGCCCAGCTGCCTGTGGCCTCAGGTTGAGGTGGGCTGAAAAAGAAATATGAAGGCAGAAAGAGAAAGTGAAGGCAGCTTCACTAGATCTTCCGAGGATGTTAATTCCTCTGCAGCTATAGAAGAGATGAGGCAGATGGTAGAGGCAGAGGGGGCTGGGATCTGGCAAACAGTGGCTCTTACTCAAAACAGTGAGCTTCTAAAAAGGTTGAATCTCCTCTTAAATGGAAGAGAGGGGGGGAAAAAATGAGATGGACCAGAGTCCAAAAGTAGCAGAGCAACTCTGCAGTCCCCGGCCTGGGAGTGTCCCCATAAAGTGGGGGCCATCGAGTGGAACAGGAAAGGGGAAAGGGGAAGATCTTCAATTACTTGAGGAAATTGAATTCAGTGAGGGTATTTCTTCGAGCCCCAGGAAAGGGCCTTTGGTGGTACCCGTCAGGGAGCTGAATATATGTTCCTGCAATTTGGAGGACAGGGTGAGCAGCTAGCTGGTTCATTTCTGGAAATGGAAAAACACATATACACACAAAGACACACACACAACAAAAAAGAACACCAGGAGTCTGGCTACCTGCCCTGATGGTGGAACAAGGGAGGTAGCTGGGTTTCAGGGCTGCCAGCCTTCCGCAATTGCCGGGGGCACTGGATTCATGTTTCCTGTGGACCACAGGTGGGGCCACCATAAGAGAGAGATGGCAGGGGATGGCATTAGACTCTGTCTAAAAGGGTCATCTGAAGGGGTTTGGTGATCCTAATAGAGGGATGAATCGTCAGACTCTTAGAAGCTGCAGAAAGAAATATAGTTGACCAGCCTAAGGAAGGGCATTTGTCCACCTCAGGGAATTAGGTGATGAGAAATCGTAGCAAAGGGAAGGTGTTAGCTCAGAAAAATCAACGGAAGTGCCTGATGAAAGGAAGAATCAGCTATGCCTAATGACCCAGGCAGTGCTTCTGCCATCTCACAGTAATTCTAGTGCAATGATACCTCCTGGCCCCTCCCTCTCACCACTGGAACCCTGGAGAGGTCCAGGGTCCAAGTTAGCAAGATGAGGGAGGAGGGATAGAAGCATGCATACACAATGAACCTGTGTAGGTAGAATCCAGGTTCAGCAGCTGAGAGAAAAACTGTATGTCAAAAGACAAAGTGTGTTTCTCATTAACAGTTCCAACATCAGGAGTCTTAGGCTGGATAGAGTGACTCCGCGGTGTTGGAGACCCCAGCTCCTTCTGTCTTGCTGCTCTGCCATTGCATCGAGGGCTGCTCTCTCTTGAAAGGTTGAAATGGCTCCCCACATCTGCTGGGTCAGCATTCCAGCCAGGGAAAGAAGGAAAGGGGAAACTAATGCCACCCATGCTGTTTGAGGGCAGAACAAAAGGTTGCTTATGTTGTTCTGATTCAGATCCGTTGGCCAAAAGTTAGTCTCACAGCCACACCTGGCTGCAAGGGATACTGGAAAATGTAGTCTTGTTTCAGGCTGGCCATAAGTCCAGCAAAAATTTGGGAGTCTTACTAATCAGGAAGAAGAGGAGAATGAATATTTGGTGATAACTGCAATTTCTGCCACAAAGCGCAAAGTGGGAAATCAGAGGTCACCACACACCTCAATTCCCATTGAGGGTGGCTGGTCTGTAAATAGCATAAAGTACGGGAAGAAATCTCAAATTTAAATAAAGTTTAAAGTTTCTACTATTACATGAGATTGGACCATTTAATTACTTATTAAACTCCTTGGGGAATTGGAGTAACCCAATGACCTTAGATTACCTACAAATGACTAGAAAGTTCATGGGGCTTGCTCCAAATTTCATCTTGGGGCAAAAGGAGAAGAAATCCCACAAAATGGATGTAAAGGGACACGGTGAAGTGAAAATAAAGTTGCTTCCTGATCCCCCTTTCTTTAGTTAGATTAGGCTAGGCTGTTATAACAAAAAAACAAAATTTCAATAACTGGCTGGTTGGGACTCTATACCCAATCAGTGGTTTTGTCGGAGATGTTTGAATCAGAGCAACTCCATCTTAAATAGGGGCTGGGTAAAATGAGGCTGAGACCTGCTGGGCTGCATTCCCAGGAGGTTGGGAATTCTTAGTCACAGGATGATATAGGAGGTCAGCACAAGATACAGGCCACAAAGACCTCGCTGATAAAATAGGATGCAGTAAAGAAGCCGGCCCAAACCAAGATGGTGACAAAAGTGACTTTTGGTCATCCTCACTGCCCATTACATGCTAATTATAATGCATTAGCATGCCAAAAGTCACCCCCCACCAGCACCAAGATAGTTTATAAATGTCATGGCAATGTCCCAGAGTTACCCTATATGATCTAAAAGGAAGAAGAACCCACAGTTCCAGGAAATCTCCATCCCTTTCCCAGAAAATTCATGGATACCCCACCCCTTGTTTAGCATATGATTAAGAAATAATTGGCTAGGCGCTGTGGCTCATGCCTGTAGTCCCAGCACTTTGGGAGGCCAAGGCAGGCAGATCACTTCAGGTCAGGAGTTGGAGACCAGCCTGACCAACATGGTGAAGCCCCATCTCTACTAAAAATACAAAATTAGCTGGGAGTGGTGCATGCCTGTAAACCCAGCTACTCAGGAGGCTGAGGCAGGAGAATCGCTTAAACCCAGGAGGCAGAGGTTGCAATAAGCTGAGATCGCGCCATTGCACTCCAAGAGCAAAACTGTGTCTCAAAAAAAAAAAAAAGGAAAAGAAAGAAAGAATCATAAAAATAGCCAACTAGCAGCCCTCAGAGCCACTCCACCTATGAGGTAACCACTCTTTTATTCCTTTATTTCTTAATAAACTTGCTTTCACTTTACTCTGTGGACTCGCCCCAAATTCTTTCTTGCACAATGTCTAAGAACCCTCTCTTGAGAAGTGACTGGATCAGGATCCCTTTCCAGTAATGATTTGTGCACCCAAACTTTGGTTTCCTTAACTTGTGGGCCCACAGATGGTCAGCCCTCAGACTCTTGTCTCTTCTTATTGCAGGTTATACCTGTGACCTGGGCCCAGAGCTGTGGGCACAGCTCTGGAACAGCATCTGCAGGCTTTCTACCACTTGGCTATTCTTTATTTTTTTATTTTTATTTTTTTTGAGAGGGAGTCTTGCTCTGTCACTCAGGCTGGAGTGCAGTGGCGCAATCTCAGCTCACTGCAGGCTCCGCCCCCTGGGGTTCACGCCATTCTCCTGCCTCAGCCTCCCGAGTAGCTGGGACTACAGGCGCCTGCCACCTTGCCCAGCTAATTTTTTGTATTTTTAGTAGAGACGGGGTTTCACCATGTTAGCCAGGATGGTCTCGATCTCCTGACCTCGTGATCCGCCCGCCTCGGCCTCCCAAAGTGCTGGGATTACAGGCATGAGCCACCGCACCCGGCCTTGGCTATTCTTTAAAAAAAAAAATTATTGAGACATAATTGCACAGATTTAAAGTGTGCACTTTGATCAGTTTTGTCGTATTTGTATACTATGAAACTGTCACCACAATCAAGATAGTGAACACATCCATACCTCTCAAAAGTTTTCTCATGCCCGTTATACTTCCTTCCCTCCTGCCATGCCCATTCTCAAACACTCACTGATCTGCTTTCTGTCACTGTAGATTATTTGCTTCTCCTAGAGTTTTATATAAATGAAATCATATAGTATGTATTCTTCTTTTTTTTTTTTTTTTCTGGTTTCTTTCACTCTGGCCATTCACTTCCAAGAGATAATGTATTAGTCCATTTTCATACTGCTATGAAGAAATACCCAAGACTGGGTAATTTATAATTCTGAGCTGGGCGCGTGGCTCATGCCTGTAATCCCAGCACTTTGGGAGGCTGAGGCAGGCGGATCACCTGAGGTCAGAATTTCAAGACCAGCCTGGCCAACATGGTGAAACCTCGTCTCCACTAAAAATACAAAAATTAGCCAGCTGTGATGACACACACCTGTAATCCCAGCTACTCAGGAGGCTAAGGCAGGAGAATCACTTGAACCCAGGAGATGGAGGTTGCAGTGAGCCGAGATCATGCCACTGCACTCCAGCCTGGGTGACAGAGTGAGACTCGAAAGAAAAGAAAAGAAAAGAAAAGAAAAGAAGAGAAGAGAAGAGAAGAGAAGAGAAGAGAAGAGAAGAGAAAAGAAAAGAAAAGAAAAGAAAAGAAAAGAAAAGAAAGAAAGAAAGAAGGAAAGGAAGGAAGGAAGGGAAGGAAGGAAGAGAGATTTAATGGATTCACAGTTCCACATGGCTGTGGAGGCCTCATAATCATGGTGGAAAGTGAAGGAGGAGCAAAAGCATGTTGTACATGGCAGCAGGCAAGAGCATGCTCAGGGGAACAGCCCTTTATAAAACCATCAGATCTCATAAGACTTATTCACTATCATGACAATAGCATGGGAAAAACCCGCCACCCATGATTCAGTTACCTGCCACCAAGTCCCTCCCATGACACATGGGGATTATGGGAACTACAATTCAAGATGATATTTGGGTGGAGACACAGCCAAACCATATCATTCCTCCCCTGGCCCCTCCCAAATTTCATGTCTTCACAATTCAACACACAATCATGCCTTTCAACAGTCCACCAAAGTCTTAACTCATTTCAGCATTAACTCAAAAGTCCAACTCCAAAGTATCATCTGAGACAAGGCAAGTCCCTCTTCCTATGAGCCTGTAAATCAAAAGCAAGTTAGTTACTTCCTAGATACAATGGGGGTACAGGCATTGGGTAAATACACCCATTCCAATGGGATACATTGGCCAAAATAAAGGTGCCACAAGCCCCATACAAGTCTGAAATACAGTAGGGCAGTCATTAAACCTTAACGTTCCAAAATGCTCCCCCTTTGACTCCATGTCTCACATCCAGGTCATGCTGATGCGAGAGATGGGCTCCCACAGCATTGGGTAGTTCTGCCTCTGTGGCTTTGCAGGGTACAGCCCCCCTTCCAGCTGCTTTCATGGGCTAGTGTTGAGTGTCTCCAGCTTTTCCAGGTGCATGGTGTAAGCTGTTGGTGGATCTACCATTCTGGGGTTTGGAGGATGGTGGCCCTCTTCTCACAGCTCCACCAGGCAATGCCCCGGTGGGGAACTCTGTGTAGGGGCTCTGACCCCACATTTCCCTTCTGCACTGCCCTAGCAGAGGTTCTCCATAAGGGCTCCACCCCTGCAGCAAACTTCTGCCTAGACATCTAGGCATTTACATACATGCTCTGAAACCTAGGCAGAGGTTCTCAAACCTCAATTCTTGACTTCTGTGCACCCACAGGCCCAGCACATTTGTAAGCTATCAAGGCTTGGGGCTTGGAACCCCTGAAGCAATGGCCTGAGCTGTAGGTTGACCCTTTTTAGCCACAGCTGGAGCTAAAGTAGCTGGGATGTAGGGCACCATGTCCCCAGGCTGCATAGAGCAGGGGTCCCTTAGCCCAGCCCACAAACCCTTTTTCCCTCCTAGGCCTCCAGGCCTGTGATGGGAGGGGCTGCTATGAAGTTCTCTAATATTCCCTGGAGACATTTTCCTCATTGTCTTAGTGATTAACATTCCACTCCTCTTTACTTATGCAAATTTCTGCAGCAAACTTGAATTTCTCCCTAGAAAATGGGTTTTTCTTTTCTATCGCATCGTCAGACTGCAAATTTTCCAAACTTTTATGCTCTACTTCCACTTGAACAGCTTTACCACTTAGAAATTTCTTCTGCCAGATACCCTAAGTCATTTCTTTCAGTTCAAAGTTCCACAGATCTCTAGGGCAGGGGCAAAATACCGCCAGTCTCTTTGCATAGGAAGAGTGACCTTTACTCCAGGTCCCAACAAGTTCCTTATCTCCATCTGAGACCACCTTAGCCTGGACAAATATTGTCCATATCACTGTCAGCATTTTGGTCAAAGCCATTCAACAAGTCTCTAGGAAGTTCCAAAGTTTCCCACATTTTCCTGTCTTCTGAGCCCTCCAAGTCTTGAGGAAGTTCCAAACTTTCCCACATTTTTGTGTCTTCTTCTGAGCCCTCTAAACTTCTAACCTCTGCCTGTTACCCATTTCCACATTTTCAGGTATCTTTATAGCAGTACCCCACTTTACTGGTACCAATTTAGTGTATTAATCCATTTTCTTTTTTTATTTTTATTTTTGAGACAGTCTTGCTCTGTCACCCAGGCTGGAGTACGGTGGCACAATCTCGGTTCACTGCACCCTCCACCTCCCAGGTTCAAGCAATTCTCCTTCCTCAGCCTCCTAAGTAGCTGGGATTATAGGCGCCAACCGCCATGCATGGCTAATTTTTTTTGTTTGTTTGTTTAGTAGAGATGGGGTTTCACCATATTGACCACCAGGCTGATCTTGAACTCCTGGCTTCAAATGATTCACCTGCCTCGGCCTCTCAAAGTGCTAGGATTACAGGCATGAGCCACTGCACCCAGCCGTATTAGTCCGTTTTCATACTGCTATGAATAAATACCTGACACTGGGTAATTTATAAAGAAAAAGAGGTTTAATGCATTCACAGTTCCACATGGCTGAGGAGGCCCTCAAAATCATGGTGGAAGATGAAGGAGGAGCAAAGGCATGTCTTACATGGCAGCAGGCAAGAGCGTGTGCAGAACTACCTTTATAAAACCATGAGATCTCATGAGACTTATTCACTATCACAAGAAGAATAGCATGGGAAAAACCTGCCCCTCATGATTCAGTTACCTCCCACCAGGTCCCTCTCATGACACGTGGGGATTAAGGGAACTACAATTCAAGATGAGATTTGGGTGGAGACCCAGCTAAACCATATCAGACACCATTCTAATGGAAAACAGCTCAGCTGAAAGAATCCTGCCAAGAACTCATGCTACCTGTCTGTGCAGCAATTCAGAGTCATGAATTCTTGTTAAGCTATGTGATTTTTCTACAAGGATGCCAAGTCTACTTTCTGATTAATGGACCTCTCTTAATCAGAAACAAGCACAATTTACACTCATAATTTTTTGCCAAAATATATAACCTTAAACATCACCTCTCTCCCCTGCTTGTCAGTTCTCATCAATTAATCTGGTCTGAAGAAGAAAAAAAAACTCAGTTAAGGGAAACCAAGTGCACAGAGGATTTCTTGAAGAATATATTTTGCAGATTATGCAATTACAGACATTTGCAGCACTGTGAATTTGGACTGTTTGTTTTAACCCTTCACAGAATCTCTTACAGTGAATTGTGCTTTGGCAGTCGGCTCTCAGCTTGCAGGGACTCAATAAGAATGGGATGTAATGCAAAATAATTTATGGATGATATGGTACAATGTGTAGAATTTGCTTTAAAAGATCTCCAGCTGAAAAAGTGGTAGGAGTAGATTAAGTGAGTATGGTCAACTTTTGACAGTTTTTAAAACTTTGTGATGGATACAGCAAGACTCATTATATACTCACGGCTTCTGTGTATGTTTGAAATTGTCATCATAAGCAGAGTTTTTTAAAAGAGGCATAAGAAGTTCACCATTGTCTTTACTATAGGGATATTGTTAAAGATTTATTTTATTCATTACTTTGCAAACCAGTATACTTTTGACAAGAAATTAAGAATGATCTTAAAACTTAAATAATACTTATCTTAGTCCTGCCTAGTACAAAGTAAGCATGTAATAAGCAACAGTTATTGTTTATTGTGTAATGATCTCATCAGAATTCATTTGTGGGTATTAGTAGCCTGACCTCCTTGGAACTTGGAGGTTTCCTTTGATATTGGACAAAGTACAAAGAAAACAGTATCTTCTGTAAGGTTAGTTGTAAGAGGTTTTCTGGTAGCATACTGAATATAGGAAGAATTTCTGAAAGAACCTTTAAGAACTCTAGTGTCTCAATCCAGAAGGTAAAAATTTAATATGAAGTATTAAAAAAAAATGCACCATGACTAACCAGGAGTACAAAGATAGCACTATGTTTTAAAATATATTCAAATGTATCATATTCAAATATATTCAAATTTTAAAGATAGTTTTATATTTTAAAATATATTCAAATTTATCATCTCTGTAGGCCAAAGAAAATAAGCCATATGATCACCTTGATTATGATAAATGGTTCAACTGGCTAACATTTGAAAAACAATAATAATTAGAATTATCTCTCTATACTCAAAATCAATTCCATATGAATATAAATGTGGAAATTTTTTAAAGTGCCAAATGAAAACAAGGGATGAGATTAGGGAGGAAGAAAACTACTCTGTGCTTCCTGGCTTCATCTTTGATCCTGTTCCATCCTCAGAGATTGCAGAGTAAGTAAACTGTGACAGCTCTCTCACTTTTGCATCTTGACATATTCCCCAACCTCTCTCATCTACTTGAATGCCGATTCCTTTATTGCATTCTAGGCTTTATTACATCAATTTTTCAATTCCTGCAATAACTAGATTCCATAATAAGAAAAGACTGTACTTGGCTGATTTCTTTCATAATGTACCTATTAATATTTAAGTGTGAATTCCTTAAAGCTCTTGTGATAGGCTTCTCAAGGCATGGCAACATTCTTCACCTCTCTTCTGCTGTATCATATTATATTACTGTGTCTCTGTGATAACAATAAAGAATTTGACTGCCCTTTGTCCCTGGTTCCTAGGAGGGAAACTAAATCCTTGGAATCTCCTGAGTAATATGAGTATCTTTGTTATTCATGAGCCCCTTGGATCACACCTGGGCTTATGCTAAGAGAGAACTCACGATGGGAGGTTGGTCATCAGAAAGATCACATAATAAAAGGATTGGGCCTTAGAGCCAGCCCAACCTCGACGGAGGGTGGGAGGACTAGAGATTGCGTTCAATTCGGTGGCAAATGAGTCAACCAATTGTACCTATATAATGAAAACTCTGGACGCCAAAATTTGGTGGAGCTTCCTGGTTGGTGAACACATCCATGTGCCAGGAGGGTGACACAACCTGATTCACAGAGAGAAGACACAGAAGCTCTGCATGGAAGACCCGCCCAGACCCCGCCCTACGTGTGTCTTCATTAGTCTGGTCCTCCTGATTTGTATCCTTTGTAACAAGCCTGTAATCGTAAGTATAACATTCTCCTGAGTTTGGTGAGTTGTTCTAGCAAATTATCAAACCCGAGGGGGTTGTGGGTACCCCCCAGATTAGTAGCCAGTTGGTCAGAGGAGCGAGTAGCCTGGGGACCTCCACACTTGTGGCTGGCGGCGGAAGTGAGGGCAATCTCATTGGGGCTGAAACCTGTAGTTAGTGTTGTGCTGCACTATTCCAGTCCCTTATCCACCTACATTCCTGTCATTTCCTTGTCGGGGCCTTGCTGTGATGTCTCCATTTGGGTGATTTCATAAAGGTTAGAGATGAGGGAGGGCAGATTTACCTGGAGAACAAATTCCTAGGCCTTTTGATACTTTTTTTTTTTTTGAGACAAGGTCTCGCTCTGTTACCCAGGCTGAAGTGCAGTGGTGCAATCCAGGCTCACTGCAACCTTGCCTCCCAACCCCCACCCCCACGCTCTGGGCTCAAGCGATCCTTCCACATTAGCCTCCAGGGTAATTGGGACCACACGTGCGCACCAGCACGCCCAGTTTTGTTTTTTTGTTTTTTTTTTTTTTTTTGTATTTTCAGTAGTGAAAGGGTTGCCCAGGCTGGTCTCAAACTCCTGAGCTCAAGCAATCTGCCCCCCTCAGCCTCCCCAAAGTGCTAGTATTACAGGCATGAGCCATCGCGCCCAGCCAATATACATTCTTAACAATTTTTTACTTACCAATTCTCTGTTCTGGCTTTGTATCTCTGATTTTACTAGATTATCCCTGTTTTGGCAAACACTAACAATATTTATATAAGTTTAGCCTATATGCCTTAAAGACGTTTTCTCCTACTTCCAGAACTTTCTCAGTTGTGTGTGTGAGTACGCCTGGCTTTTCATCAAAGAGCTTTGCCGTCTTGATGCTTCCTTTTCTGTGAACACAGCAATAAATAGATTCTGCAGAACAAATGAGTGAGTAACTTTTTTTTTTTTTTTTTTTTGAGACAGAGTCTCGCTCTGTCACCCAGGCTGGAGTGCAGTGGAGCTATCTTGGCTCACTGCAGCCTCTGCCTCCTGAGTTTAAGTAACTATTGTACAATAGTGATCACTGCCACAAAGTCAAGTATACATTGTTTATAATCTCTGAATTGAAGTACAAATTTTACTTTCTCTTTTTTTTTTTCCTTTGGAGATGGAGTCTCCCTCTGTCACCCAGGCTAGAGTGCAGTGGCAGGATCTCAGCTCACTGCAACCTCCGCCTCCTGGGTTCAAGTGATTCTCCTGCCTCAGCCTCCCGAGTATCTGGGATTACAGGCACGTGCTACCATGCCCGGCTAATTTTTTGTATTTTTAGTGGAGACGGGGTTTCACCATGTTGGGCAGGCTTGTCTCGAACTCCTGATCTCAGGTGATCCTCCTGCCTTGACCTCCCAAAGTGCTGGGATTACAGGCATGAGCCACCACACCTGGCCTTTTTTTTTTTTTTTTTAATAGAAATGGGCTTCCCCACCTACCCCCACCTGGCATGGTGGCTCATGCCTGTAATCCCAGCACTTTAGGAGGCTGAGGGGGGTGAATCACCTGAGGTCAGGAGTTCGAGACCAGCCTGGCCAACATGGTAAAACCCCATCTCCACTAAAAATACAAAAACTTAGCCGGGCATGGTGGCACGTGCCTGTAATCCCAGCTACTCAAGAGGCTGAGGCAGGAGAATCACTTGAACCCAGGAGGCGGAGGTTGCAGTGAGCTGAGACCGCGCAATTGCACTCCAGCCTGGGCAACAAGAGCAAAACTCCATCTCAAAAAAAAAAGAAAAGAAAAGAAAAGACAAAAAAAGAAATGGGTTCTCACTATGTTGCCTAGGCTGCTCTGGAAATCCCAGGTTCAAACAATCCTCCCTCCTTGGCCTTCCAAAGTGCTATGATTACATGTGTGACCCACCATGCCCAGCTCTAAATATCTTTAATTGTAAGTGTGTAGCATTCCATACAATCCAAGCACAGTTTTATATAATGGGTTGAGCTAGATCAACAAGGTTATAGATGGCTGGTTCATGATCACCAGGTTGGTGGGTAAAATCAGCCATTAATCTCCTATGAAAGGCCAGGTACAGTGGTTCATGCTTGTAATTCCAGCACTTTGGGAGGCCAAGGCAGGTGGATTGCTTGAGCTCAGGAGCTCAAGACCAGCCTGGCCAACATGGTGAGACCCCTCTCTACTAAAATACAAAAAACTAGCCGGGCTTGGTGGTGGGTGCCTGTAGTCCCAGCTATGTGGGTGGCTATGGCAAGAGAATTGCTTGAACCCGAGAGGCGGAGGTTGCAGTGAGCCGAGATGTTGCCACACTGCACTCCAACCTAGGCTACAGTGAGGTAGGAGTTATTAAGAAATTATTTTAGGCAGATAGAGAGGAAAAAGGTCCATGGAAAATTTTTCACAGCTCTTGTCTAGCATGAAAGCCCTGGCTCTTAGACTTGGGCCAGCAACCTTTTATATGCAAACGCTAGCTGTTAGAAACTGGGTCCACCCAACAAGGCTATTCCCACCTTTGTCCTCTTGCCCTTGCCCCTACATGTGCCTGGCAGCATGGCCGCCCCCACATATCCCCACGTGTGTGGAACATGACACAGCCCTACATTTGCATATTAAAAGGCTAGGGTGGGAGGGCCAGCTTTTTCGCCGGCTACATGAATGACATGCCTGGTCAAACCAATCCCCTGAGTCCTATGCAGATCAGATACTGCCTCCTCCACCCATCGAATATAGCTGGCTGGTATTACCTAAGTGCGGGGTTCCATCTCTCGGCTTTGGAGCCCCCCTCCCTCTGTCTCTGTACAAGGGAGTTTCTTCTTTCTTTCTTCTCCCTTCTTTCTTGCCTATTAAACTCTCCGCTCCTTAAAACCACTCCACGTGTGTTCGTGTCATCTTATCTAATTCGATGTGAGACAAGAGCCCTGGTGTTCCTCCACTCATCAGAGCCATATCAACAGAGGGTGACTGTCTCAAAAAAAAAAAAAAAAAAAACTCCTCTGAAAAACAGAATTTAAAACTTTAAGTGGGCAAACATCATTTTTATTTTTTTAAAAAGTCAACAAATTCTTATAACCAACATTCATGGTCTCAAGTAACAAGTTGACAGTTTGAGCATCAGCTGCAGAAGATAAAAAAAAAATTGAGGTATTTGCAAGAAGCTCTTGCTAGAAGGAATAAGAGGGGCTGAGCATTGAAGCCTGGGCCAGGTGAGCTGTCTTCCTTGCCTCCCCACGTTCCACACCCCAGACACCACCGATGGGGAGCTTAGGAGATGAGGGGTGGAAGGAGGAGGTGAGGCTGGGTTTCCTCCAGCTCAGGGATGTTGTCTTGAATGTCCTCATTGAAGGATAAGGAGGAAAGTGATGTCCCTACCAAGGCTGACAGGCTAAGGAATGGGAAAGCATCTTTGGAGGTCCCCAGGCCGACTACTGAATATCCTGCCCCAGGTGTCCAAGCTCCACAGTGTGGCTGGTGGGTGTGCCCTTGGCACCACTTTCCCCATGTGCTGAGTCTTCTGGGAAGCAGGCAGCACAAATGTGAGGACACGCTAGTGCCTCGGGGACCCTTCACTAAGACCGGCAGCTACCCCTTCCCCAACCCTTTTGCCCCTCTCTTTCAGAGATGGAGCCCATCCAGAACCCAGCTGTGCTGCTGCAAGGTACATTCTGTCTCCCTCTCTCTTTCTCTCTTTCCAGCACACCAAATTCCCTACATTCCAGGGAGGGAGTTATCTCAGTCTCCAACTGCCCCAGAGTGGTGAGCAGCATTCCACACACTCCAAGCATATAAGGAAGAAGTGCAGTAGGCTGGGGACTGGCAGAAGGAGCTCCCTGGGCAGAAGAGCCAGGAAGGTAGCTGGGTAGGAAGTAACCTGCATGGGCCCAGCCCAAGGCACTAGAAAATCAGCCTTCCCCAAATAATCACAGAGGCTTCCAAACGTGCCCCACCCCTTCAAGCTCCCTTCCCAGGGCTCTGCTGCTCCCTCTCACTTTCTCTTGCTCTTTTTCCTTCCCACTCTAAGTGTCCTACTTCCATCTTCTTCCCATCTCTTTGTCTCTTTCTTCCCTCTCGGGCCCACCTTTGGCTTTTCTAGGCTTTGATAAAGAGTTTCCTGAGGCTCACCACCGGCAGCTGAATTCTGGTCTCCTCTTCCTGCCTCTGCTTGCCTCCGTGGACTCCTAGACATGCTCCTTGAGCTTGTGGGCAGGCATCTCAGCACAGCTGTGGGATCTGGGGCTCAGAGACCCCCAACTAGCCTGTGCCTAGAATCATATTTCAATAGAATGATTTCTTTTGAATCTTATTGATGCAGAACTTTGTTCCTTAAACCCTAAAACCAGGTTCTTGTCACACAAGCAGGAAAAGCTAGGAACGCAGACGCATTGAAGGGTGAGGGGAACAGAATTTATTGGGTGAAAAAGGAAAAGAAGAAAAAAAAAATCTCTCAGCAAAGCAAGAAGAGTTCCTGCCAACAGCACCCCCACCCCCAGACTGATTCCAGGCTACACACAAGAACTGAAGAGGCCAGGCTCCTCCCCAACTGCACATGGCACGAACTTCCCGTGGCTCCACCCCCTTCTCCCAAGTGCATAGGCAGGTCAGAGATTCTCTGGGGACCCTTTCCCTTATCTACCTCCTGCATCTATCAATATGGTGAAACCCTGTCTCCACGAAAATTGTGAAAGTTAACTGGGCCTGGTGGTGCACGGATGTGGTCCCAGCTACTTGAAAGGCTGAGGTTGGAGAATCACCTGAGCCCGGGAGGTCGAGGCTGCAGTGAGCTGTGATTGCACCACTGCACTCCAGCCTGGGTGACAGAGTGAGACCGTGTCTCAAAAATAAATTTAAAAATAAAATAAAAATAAAGAGTTGCAGCCTACAATGTACCATTCGGACTAGTGGGAAGCATAGCCTCTGGCAGAGCCTAGAGAATGAACTTTGAGGGACGAGGAGGAATAAGAAAGGAATTTAATCTGACTGGGTTGGCCAAGTATACATATTCAACAGGTTACAGAAGGAGCTATGAATATTCATGAAAGTGGTCCTGAAGCACATATACTGAATAAACTAGTATATTGCATATGACCCATGTGCACCGTAGGGTGGAGACTTAGCATTTAAATGTATTACAGCTGGCCAGGCGCGGTGGCTTACACCTGTAATCCCAGCACTTTGGGAGGCTGAGGCAGATGGATCATGAGGTCAGGAGATCGAGGCCATCCTGGCTAACAGGGTGAAACCCCGTCTCTACTAAAAATACAAAAAAAATTAGCCGGGCATGGTAGCGGGTGCCTGTAGTCCCAGCTACTCGGGAGGCTGAGGCAAGAGAATGGCATGAACCTGGGAGGCAGAGCTTGCAGTGAGCCGAGATCGCACCACTGCACTCCAGCCTAAGCGATAGTGAGACTCCGTCTCAAAAAAAAAATAAATTAATTAAAAAAAAATAAATGTATTACAATTAGGTCTTATACATCAAAAGGTCTTTTCAGGACACAAGCAAACTCAAGTATGCAGCATCTGTAAACCAGCCAGAACCAGTCCATGGTCAGTAGTCTTCTTATCAGGAGAAGGTTACTGAAATCAGTCTCGTGTTCAACCCAAGCTGTAGTTTTGGCTGATGGACGATCTGCAAGTTGTTTTAATCTTGCTTATCTCAAGGCCAATGTTCGTTTGGCTGCTAGAGAAAAATTAAAACCTTGTGGCAGAACACTTTTTCTTTAAGTGCAGGGGTGTGTGACTTAACCCTGACCTGCCATGGCCTTAAGTCTTGTTTATAGTTTGGTCTTTCATTGGCTCAAATACTTTGTTCTGTCAGTCTTATGATCTCTGGTTTATTAATGCTGGTCAGTGGTTGTCTAAACCACAAAAGGGATGAGGTATGACGAGGCGTGTCTGACCTCCCATCCTCTCCTGCCTGGGAACTCAGTTTTTAAGGTTTCTCTGGGGTCCCCTTGGCCAAGAGGGGGTCCATTAAGTCAACTGGGGGGCTTAGGATTTTATTTTCAGTTTACAAAATTATCTCACTATAGTCTCTCAAAAGGAGTCTGTGTTCTTCCCTGAAAGAAAGCTGACATCCCCTGCTGCTGGGGGTTAAGGGTGGCAGGGTCACACATAAACCAGGTGTCAGAAGGGCTGTGGGCAGAGGCCGGAGCAGCCTGATTAAGGTGGGAAACCCCAGGGTTGTTCTTGATAATGAACTGAGGTGGAAAGGGAGAAAGGCAGTTGTTTTGTGAATCCACTGGAGACACTGAGCAGCGGACAGAAAGCAGATGTCAGGGAGTGGGAACCGGGGAGCTGAGTGGGTCCATCCTAAAAGGGGCAGCTCTGAGGCGTTCCTAACCTTTTAGTGCTGCAGGCCTTGTAGCCAAACTTTGTGCCCTACCCACTTGTCCTCTAAGGTTGCCATTCAGATGGCTCCGTCTTTAAGCCTCTGACACTGTTGAGGACTTACCCTAGTCACAGGAGCACTACCCATGGGTAGGGCAGGCTAGAAATGTCAGTGCCCTGGGGGCAGCCCTCAAGTGAAATGGGATTTGGTGAAGAAATACCCCAGCTTCCTCAAGGGTAGGATGACTCCGAGGCATGCTCTATACAGTAGTCTCTTGAAGGTCCCAGTGGGATTGAGCCAAGGAGTTCATTAAGTTCATTGCTCATCGATGCACCCCATGCTGGCTTCTGCCCTTTCCTGTCTACTTTATCAATTATGCCAGGGATTTCCTCTCTAATAACCTCCTTGCTTCAAATCTTTGTCTCCAGATCTGCTTCTGAAGGAAACTAACCTAAAACAGACCCCTTTGGCAATTTGTGAAAGCTGCTGTACTTCTGAGAATAATGGTGGGGTTTTGTTTTTTGTTTGTTTGTTTTGAGACAAGGTTTTGCTGTGTTGCCCAGGATGGAGTGCATTGTCATGATCATAGCTCACTGCAGCCTCCACCTCCTGAGTTCAAGAGATCCTGCTGCCTCAGCTTCCTGAGTAGCTGGGACTACAGATGCAGGTCACCACACCCGGCAGAATAGTGTTTTAAATGTATAAAATAAAATAGATAATGATAGATGCAGGAGACAGATAAAGGGGAGGGTCCCTGGAGAATCACCTGCCTGCATACTGGGAAAATGGGGTGGAGCCACGGGAAGTTCGTGCCGAGTGTGCAGTGGTCGGGGAGGAGCCTGGCCTCTTCAGCTACTGTGTGTGGCCTGGAATCAATCTGTGGAGTGGGGACCTGTTGGCAGGAACCCCCCTTGCTCTTTGCTGAGAGGTTTTTCTTTTCTTCTTTTCCTTTTTCACCCAAAAAATTCCATTCCCCTCACCCTTCAAAGTGTCTGCCTGCTTAACTTTTCCTGGTCATGTGACAAGAACCCGGTTTTAGCTGAACTGAGGAGCAAAGTTCTGCATCAGTATTGCCAGGCTGGTCTCGAACTCCTGGGTTCAAACGATCCACCCACCTCAGCCTCCCAAAGTGCTGGGACTGCAGATGTGAGCCACAATGCCCAGTCAGCAGTAACTCTTTAAAAGAAATAAAGCTCTCCTTTCCAAATTTATGATTTTTCTTTTCTTTTTTTTTTTTTTTTAAGAGACAGGGTCTCACTCTGTTGCCCTGGCTGGAGTAAATAGCTCCCTGCAGCCTCAAACTACTGGGATCCACTTCAGCCTCCTGAGTAGGTAGGACTACAGGCGTGTGCCAGCACACCTAGCTAATTTTTATTTATTTATTTATTTATTTATTGGTAAAGAAAGGGCCTCACTATGTTGCCCAGGCTGGTCTCGAACTCTTACCCTCAAGCAGTCCTCCCACCTCCACCTACCAAAGCGCAGGGATCACAGGCAAGAGCCACTGTCTGCCCAGCCTAAAGTTGTGATTTTTAAGTTAACATATCATTGTCAAATTAATTTGTGTTTTCTGTTTTTTCCTCACCTAACCCTGCCTCCCTCCCACTCTTCGCACCACCCTGCACTTCCAAGCCAGGAGAAAGGACTTTGTGCTCCTTCACCTCAGAAACCTGAACTCAGAATTTCCTTGTAGACACTTTTCAGGCCTTTGTTTGCTGGAGACTGGAGTTCCCTGAGAGGATTAAGGGTGTGGTGGGGAGTGTCTAAAGGAGCCCAGTGCCTTGAGGGCAGCCAAGAAGACAGAGGCCCTGGACTGGATACCGGCTGAGGTAGGTGGATCCCTGTGGGGTGGAGACCATCCCCAGCTCCACAGCCCCAGGCATGTCAAGGGCTATCATCAAGGCCTCAGAGGAGACCAGCTGCCTGGGGCACCTCAGGAAGCTATACCCTGACACCTGGACTCCAGAGTCCACAAATATATCTGTACCCAAACCAGTGGGCAAGCAAAGAAGCCCTTGCCTTTGGGAGACCTCAGGATGTTGGCCATGAGAACATCATGGATGGGCGCGGTGGCTCGCTCCTGTAATCCCAGCACTTTGGGAGGCCAAGGCGGGTGGATCACCTGAGGTTAGGAGTTCGAGACCAGCCTGGCC